>NT_187502.1:0-198735 GCF_000001405.40 Homo sapiens
GATCCAATTATTCCAAATTGTATTTAACTTTTGTAACTGAGTGACTGCAGTTCTCACCATTAGATCTGACATACAGAGAAGAGCCTTTACAGGGCTCTTCAAAGATGCAGGTGCTGTCCTCACAAATCTATTTTGCAAGGTGTTTGTCAAGGTTATTAGGTACAGAGTCACTAAACTCCTTGCCTCTCACAAGCGATGATTCATTAGTGTCAAATGAATTTGTTTTCCATAACTCTTTAAACCTTTCATGCCAAGAACTGTCAATATTCTCTACACTATTAAAAGTAGAGTCCTTAGCATTTTGGGATCTAATCATATTTAGCAGCCAAATCCAGAAACCCCAAAACCAACAAAAGAACTCCAACCTTAATATTCTGTTCCTGCAGAACCATTCCTGGTACCAAAATCCGTATTAGTGAGGGTTCTCTAGAGGGACAGAACTAATAAGTTCTCTCTCTCTCTCTCTCTCTCTCTCTCTATATACATATATATATATATATATATATATATATATATATATATATATATATATAGGTTTATTACATATTAACTTACAGGATCACAAGGTCCCACAGTAGGCTGTCTGCAGGCATGAGGAGTGAGGAGTAAGGAGAGCCAGCTCGAGTCTCAAAACTAAATAACTTGGAGTCCGATGTTCAAGGGTAGGAAGCATCCAGCACGGGAGAGAGATGTAGGCTGGGAGGCTGGGTCAGACTCACTTTTTCACTTTTCTCTGCCTGCTTTATATTCACAGGCAGCTGATTAAATGGTGCCCATAGATTAAGTAGGGGGTCTGCCTTCCCCAGACTACTGACTCAAATATTAATCTCCTTTGGCAACACCCTCACAGACACACCCAGGAGCAATGCTTACATCCTTCAATGTAATCAAGTTGACAATCAGTATTAACTATCACAGGATTACAGACCTGAGCCATCACACACAGTGTTATTGTATATTTCATACAATTTCCTGATTTTCCCATTTTATCTGTGACTTAATAAAGTTTTTCAGCTATGACCCTGAACTGGTAATACTTGAAAGCACATTCAAATGTGTTTTGCAACAATTCGTAACTGGCAAAATGTTGAGCCTTGTGGAAAGAGTCACCTTACTTCCCCGTCAGCTGTCAATTCCCCATCATTGCTATCACTTCTGGGAGCACATTTTCCAAAACTCCTTTTCTCTCTATGGTTTCTTTAGAGTTGCTCCATGAGGTTACAATAAGTTACAACTAATTACTGTCATGAGATTGGGAAGTCAGAGTAGTGGATTCATGTACACTGACACCTGAAGTAAAACACACGCAGTTAGGTGTGGACTGGAGAATCACCTGGAGATGTGCTGCAGGCAGCTGAGAGCATCAGCACCCCCAGCCCTGGGCTTCCCAGACAGGACTGAGGATCATCACACGGTGTTCAGCACATACCACCAGGGGCAGGTGCATCCTGGCTTCTGAAGTAGCACCTGAGAATCCCCTGTGTCTAGTACCTGCTTCATGAATAACACTACATAGGCTTCGGTAAGACTGTGGCTTAGACTAATTTATTCAACTTGAATAATTTCTCCTTGAAATACTGAGAATAGCTTCTCTTTTGCTGTACAAATTCCGATTATCCCATAACACAGACTCCTCAGCTGGACTTATCTCTCTTCTTTATTCAGTCAGGACAGGCATTGTCGCGCCTTTTCTGCTGGGGATGAGGGTGAAAGAGGCTTAGGGTTCAGAGGAACCTCCCTGGCCTCCTCTAGGAAAATCTCCCGATGACTTTCCAAACCTGACTGAGTTTGAGAACTTCCCTCAGCAGATAGAGGCACCAGAAGGAGCACTGGGGCAGCCCAGCCTCACACATCTGCTTCCTTGGGGTTTATGTTATGACTTGTAACACTGTGGGAGGGGTACTGTCACTCTGTTGCAGTAATAAGTTGCAAAATCTTCAGGCTGCAGGCTGCTGATGGTGAGAGTGTAATCTGTCCCAGATCCACTGTCACTGAACCGAGAGGGAATCCCACTTTGCAGACTTGATGCAGCATAGATCAGGAGCTTAGGAGTTTTCCCTGGTTTCTGCTGATACCAATTTAAATTATTGCTAATGCCCTGACTCGCCCGGCAAGTGATGGTGACTCTGCCTCCTACAGATGCAGAGAGGGAGGATGGAGACTGGGTCATCTGGATGTCACATCTGGCACCTGAAATTAGAAATATAAAAACAAATATTCTTGCAATTAATCACGTTATCAGAGGACTTCCCTGAAGTTCCAGACAGTACTGAGCACACTGACCGAGTATAATCCTAGTGTTCTCCTTCCTTACCTGGCAGCCAGAGCCCCAGGAGCCCTAGGAGCCCCAGGAGCTGAGTGGGGGCCCTCACGTCCGTGCTGTGTCCTGACTGGGGCTGACTCCTGCACCGGGTGTGGCCAGCCTATAAGAAGTCTTCAGGGCAGGGGGCTGTGCTCTAGGAACAGGCAAATCAGCAGGGGATGGGGCAGGCTGAGCACAGCTGCAGGGCTGGCTCATCTCAGTAACTCAGCACACAGGCGCAGTATCCCCAGAGTCCCAGGTCAGACCAGGGCAGCACAGATTTACCTTGAAAGAGTACACTTCTCATTGGTGGCCATATGGTTACAGAACATATTTTTGGAGTGAATTTTCAAAATTTTAAATCAACCTAAGACTAGATTAAATAATATATTTATACTTGTATTAAGAGTGTATAGGAAAGCATCATTTTTGGCAGAAAATTTACAATAAAGTTATAGAGTGTGGGGCTGTCAGAAATTTCAGTTAGTCTCAAAGGAATTTGATGAGTGTAAAAGTATTTAGTGCTATAATAACAATGTCTCTGTCAGTGTGAAATTGCTTCTTTTTTGAAATCAATATAAAAAGAATTTATCAGAAGCATCTTTAATAAATTCAATAGAATTTACTAACAAACTTAAGAAATTGTTCCTAGGAGTAAAAGGAAAAACAATTCTCTGAAGATGCACAAAGATGATAATGTGTCACGCATAGATCTGCCATTATCCAGAGCTATGTGTCTCTTTAAGACCCAGGGGCTAAATGGGCTGCACCTTATTCTTGGCGTGATGATCCCCATATTCTATCCCCTTTCCTGCCTTTGGTATAATTTCTTATGGTTCTCCAGCATGGAGAGCTGACTAGTAATACCAGGTCTCATCATTTCAAAATCTCTGTTTCACTCGCGGACTATAGGAGCCAGGATTAAAATCAACTTGAATCCCTCTATCAATCTAGGCTCAAATAATCAATTGTTTCAAAGTAGGATGACAAAGGCCACATCCCCTGAGTAATGCTCTGAGCTGCGCTCCCCACCAGCCTGTTCCTGGGGTCTCAGGAGCATCTGCCCTAGAGTCTGGCTTTCTGGAGAGCAGGTGAGGGGGGAAAAGCCAGGTCAGTGAACCTCTCTCCTTAGCGAGAGCAGCTGCTGCCCAATGCATGTTCTTGCCATGCACCAGGGCATCATCCTGACCCAGATGCCAGCCACCCTGTCTCACATACATTTAGAGAGAATCTCCATCTTCTGCCAAGACACTGCCCATGTAGATGAAAAAGTATTTTGCCTCCAAACATATCTTAAGCACTGATTTGAACCTCAATACTTCACATAGATGCCTTTTCCCAGGGCGTGTCGGCCTGGCTCAACAGCAGGGGAAGTGGAGCCAATTACATCAGTGTCAGTGGACTGAGAAATACTCCAGGGAGTAGTTCTCATGCACGACTACCAGTGGCCAGAACAAGGTAGTGCAGCCTGTGCACAAACCTCCTGCTGCTTTTCCAGAGAACTGGATTTCTGAGAAATGGCTACTGAACAGGCTGCCAGGATCCATATATCCAGATTCAGAGAGATACATCTCTGGATTCAAATGCGCTTTTTCTTTGTGCATAATTTTAGCAGTCATTGTTACTACGCCTTGGGGATTCTAGTCATTATACTTCAGCTGACTCTCTATGGCCCTTTCTCCCCTTCACTACTCTGTCTGAACCTGGGGAAGCAGCTCAGGCTGCAAATGAGGCAGACCTCATGGCCTGGAATTAGCATCCCCTAGGACGGCTGTCAATCAGTGATGACAAGGGAGGTGTACACATCCCGCACCTCCCTCACCTCTCAGATGGAATAACAGAGGCATTTTTCCTGTGTTTCTATGTGGGCTTGAGCTCTCGTCATCCTCAGAGGTGGCTCCTTCTGAGGCACCTTTCACTTTCCCTTTCCCTCCTCCCCTCCCTTGCTCACTTGCTTGTTTCCCGCGCTTTGTAAATATACTGCTTGCATGCGAATCTTTGGCATCCTTCTCACGGAGGGGACCCAACATAATGCATTGGAAAAATCCTCATTCTTGGAGGGCATCGTTGGTTTGAATTATTGCCACTTCTCATGTTTTAATGCATAGGGAAATTCCAAAAATTTAGGAAATCTTTAAATTCCCTTTGCCAATCTTTCTTAGATTTGATTTTAGCAGAGATTCATTTTCTCTAGGTCACAAAATCACAGAAGCCTTCCACAAATGGCTACACAACATAGAGTCCACATAGAGCAGAGACTCAGAATCTCCCAGGATTTGACATCCACACATCAGACAGTCCTAGATTCTCAGGTTTTTTCTAGGTCGATCGCCTCGTAAACCTGCCTTGTGATATTTTTATTCTACCTTAGGGGAAGACCATTGTGTGGATGATGAGGGTTGTTTGTGGAATGAATAATACACCCACTAAAGACATCATTGTCCTAGTATCTGGAATCTATGATCATTACTTATGAATATGTCAAAAATAACTTGGCAGACATGGTTGAGAATTTGGGGGTCAGGAGAGTATCCTGAATGATCTGGGTGAGACCATCATAATCACAAGGGTCCTTATAATAGGGAAGGAGGAAGGTAACAGCCAGAGAGGACCTGGGACAACGGACAGGGAAACTGGAGTGATGGAGGAAGGGGCCATGCTGCTAGGAATGTGGGAACATCAGAAAGATGGAATGCTCGATATTGGATTCTCTCTCTTGAAGCCTAGAATGAATAGAGCCCTATTACTCCTTGACTTTACTTCATTGAGACTTCTGACCTCCAGAAATGTAAGATAATACACTTGTGTTATGTGGAGCAGTAAGGTTGTGGTAATTTGTTACAGCAGCAACAGGAAACCAATGCAAGGGGAAGGGGTGTGTTTTACTTCCCTAGTGTATCACTGTCCTCTGTTCTCCCAAATAGTTCTGTGTTTTTGTGTTTGCTGTCAATTTCAACAAGAGACAGAAAACATTTTTCTATGAGGAGAGCTAGCACCACAATTCTTCTTATGTAGAAAGTGTCTTGAGTAATTCTCTGGGTTAGGTCTTATACAATCTTGGTATCTGAGAGCCTGGAGGTCATCCCTCACAGCACATGAGAAGAGGAAAGGGATGCGGGTTTGCTGTTTTAACATTTGTAGGGCAAATTAGAGGTACAAGACCCATTCTTTTTATTATTATTATTGTTCTTTAAGTTCTAGGGTACATGTGCACAACGTGCAGGTTTGTTACATATGTATACATGTGACATGTTGGTGTGCTGCACCCATTAACTCATCGTTTACATTAGGTGTACCTCTTAATGCTATCCCTCCCCCCTCCCCCCACCCCACGACAGGCTCTGGTGTGTGATGTTCCCCTTCCTGTATCCATGTGTTCTCATTGTTCAATTCCCACCTGTGAGTGAGAACATGCAGTGATTGGTTTCTTTGTCCTTGCGATAGTTTGCTGAGAATGATGGTTTCCAGCTTCATCCATGTCCCTACAAAGGACATGAACTCATCCTTTTTTATGGCTGCAAGCGAGGACTGAGTCAGAGAGATGGGGATGGCAGAGGAGACAAAATGTGGTCAGGGCCGTGTAAGATGTGACCCTGCTGCCATATCTGAAAGAAAGGCTGTTGGTGTTTGTAAAGGCTTTGGGCAAATTGTGCTTTGTAGACAAAACTGTAGAAGGGTCTGGGTTTAAGCTTAGTGTCAGCGTGATGAGGACTAGAGGTCGCAGTGAGCTTGTGTTAAGAAATCCACCCTTCACTTCTGGCTTTGTCTCTTTCCTGGTTTTATAGGTGGTGGGTTCCTCTATGGAATGAACGTGGCTCTGTGGAAGGAACATAGTTAAGGTCAGACAGACCTAGATTCCAAGTTCAGCTTCAACAACTGCTGACCAAGTGACTTTTATGCAAATCAGCCATGTGCTGTCATGAACAGTTTCCTCATGTGTGAAATGGGGCACTGAGGATGTGAAGGGGTGCCCTGAGGGTTCCGCCAGCTGATGCACCATGAAGTGTACATACATGTATAGACAGACACACACACATACATGAGAAGAGTATCTAGTGCCCCTTTTATGCATTCTTGAGTAACTCAGAATGTTACGTGAGCTATTAACAGTCATATGTCATTTTCAACTAAAATTATCAATATTTATCTTATAACTAACAGATGCTTCTCTGTACACTGTAGGTTTCATGTACATTTCTTCAATCACAAAATTTTTCACCAATCTATTTACGTCTAGTATCAGAAAGTTAAGCAAGGAGATTGCAAACCAACACAACACCTTTAGTCTGGATTTTCCTGGAGCCCCATTTGTGTTAGTGTCCTCGGGCTACTGTAACAAGTTCTCAAAAATGTGGTAGCTTCAAACAACAGAAATGGAATCTCTCATAGTTCAGAAGTCCAGATCAGTTTCACTGGGCTAAGATCTTGGATTCATCAGTTCTGGCTCCTTCTGAAGCTCTAGGGAGCAGTCTGATTTAGCTCTTCCAGCTTCTGGTGGCTTCTCTCTCCCGGGATGTGGACACATCACTGCAATCTCTGTCTCCGTGTTCACACTGCCTTCTCCACTTCAGTCTATGCTAAATGTCTCTCTACCTCTTGTTTTTTTTAGGACACTTGAGTTTGCATTTAAGTCCCAGTTGATTAATCTAAGACCATCTCCCTGTTTCAAGCTCCTTAATTTACACCTGCAAAAGCTGTTTTCCCAAATAAGATACATGCATAGTCTTCTTGGAATGAAACCTCACTATTTGGGGATGATACTCAGTACTACACCATTACATAACCAGGTCTCAGTGTTAGTCCTGTACATACATCACAATCTCTCTCTCTCTCTCTCTGTCCACACACCCTGGCTTCCTCCTTTTCTCAATGTCATAAATCTCTTCAATTCCTTAAGTGTATCCAGTGATACCTATAAACAAATAAGTATCTGAGAAAATTCTCAATCAGTTTAGAAATTTATTTGGTCAAAGTTAAAGAAATATCAGTGAAACAGCCTCAGGAGGTCTTGAGAACGTGTGTCAAACGTCGTCGGGCTACAGGTTGGTTTTACACGTTTTAGGGAGACATAAGATATCAATCAATACGTGTAAGCTGTACATTGCTTTGATATGGAAAGGCAGGACAGCCCGAACGAGGGGGGATGTTGGGGACTTCCAGGTCATAGGTGGATTCAAAGATTTCATAGGTGGTTGAAAGAGTTTATCTAATGACCTGTAATCAACACAAGGGAGTTTCTGGGTTTAGAAAAAGGATTTTGGAGCCAAGGTTGCATCATGCAGATGAAGCCTCCAGGTAGCAGGCTTCAGAGAGAATAGATTGTAATTGTTTCTTAGTAGACTTAAAAGGTGCCAAACTCTTAGTTAAATCTCTCTGGGTCAGGAAAGAGACTTAAAAAGGAATCTCTACAGAATGTAGATTTTCCCCACAAGAACCAGCTTTGCAGAGGCATTTTTAAATACATTAAATAACGATATCTTGGGGAAAATACTTTGATTTCTCTTAGGACGTGGTATCTGTCACATTGGTATCTTATTGCTATAAAGAGTTTTCTTTGTCAGTCTCAAGGGTCTCTGTCTTCATATTAAAAGCTGGTCAGTTGTGCCTGAATTTTAAAGGGAAGAGGGTAAGTTAAGGCATATCCAATCATCCGTTCTGATCATGGACTGCATTGTATTTCAGGTTGATTTTGGTGTGTCCTTGGCTGAGAGGAGGAGTTCATTCAGTTGGTTAGGGAGCTTAGAGTTTCATTTTTGGTTTACACACCTATGTCCAGGTAAGAGGGCCCCACACAGGAGGGCTTGCTCAGAACCTGGCTTGCAGGGCTGCTTACAGACCTTCTATGTCTCCTGTTGTCATGCACAAGGAAGGACACAGCCAATGACAACCCTCAGCCATCCGGGGAGAAGCTGTGTCTGCAGAGGACGGTCATGAGCTGTGAGTCTAGAGACCTGTGATTGTCTTCAGGGGCCTGTGGTCCTCGGCTTTCATAGGAGTTGTGGGGGCACTGGCTCAAATAGCATCCACCAGGATTCCAATCAGAATATCTCATTCACAGAAGGCAGTCGGTGATATGACAGCACAGAGGGACTCTGTGGGTCCAGCTGCATGGAGCACTCTGGGAGAGTCACTGGCGCCCGTGCTAGACAGAGCTTCATTCAACTTCTGGAGCACACGGATTTAGATCTCTTTACATCATTTTGAAAGACCATTTATCATTCTGAAGGAAACCACTGTAATTAACTAAGGTAACATCTTTAATAGGTAGAAAGAAAAAAGTTATTATTTTATTGCCAAGATGATTACAAGAAAAGAAACAAACAAAAATAGCATGAAGGAAAGAGCAATACTGGACTGAGGGCTTTGGATAAGAGGTTGAGACTTAGTAGTGAATGCCCTGGGCCATCTTCTGTCAAAAGGGAAGGACAATCAGCAAACAGAAATATGCAGTAGAGGTAAAATCTTGGTTAGTAAAAGAATCCTAAGAGAAAACAAGAAGTCTCCTTCCTGAGCATCATGTTGGTGTCGGGAAGATGCACATAATCCCCCCATTGCATGTCTTACACTTTTCAGCAATTAGGGCTCAGCATGAATTTAGAAGACACCATTCACTTCACAGCAGATGGGGACACAGTCAAGGCAGTGGTGAGAGGCAAGGCTGGGCTTTCAGTCTCAGAGCACAGAGCAGGTTCCCCACTACTCTGCACCCTGGTGTCTCCTCCCAGATGTTCCAGATGTTCCACCTCATTCTTGCCTTAAGGGCTCCAAGTTGTTAATGGGACAGTAGCCCTCTTCCTTTCCCAGGGTTTCTAAGAATTTGGCTCTCTTTTGTGTACTGCGGGGTTTGTTTGCCATCTAGAGGCAGGTTTTTGGCATAGCAACTTATAGGCTTTTTCTACTTGTGATAGCGAAAATAAATACATAAATAAATTCATCATAAATAATAAATTGACTTAATGCATTCAATCTGTAAAAAAAAAAATAAGGTCAGTTTGAGAGCTTAAAAGGAGCCTGATGAGGTTAAAAAAGACAAATTACCTTTCGTAAAGAGCAGTTGGAGCAATAGATGATTCTTTAATCAATGACATTTTAGGAGTAACTATCAAATGGTAAATAAAACGAAATAAGATGATGAACTATAATTTTATATGCAAAAAAAATTTCCAAGAACCATACAAATACATTTTCAGATTAAAACAAAAAATGTGGGTTTATCATCATATCCGCTAAATGGAAGATTTCTCAAATGTGTGCTTGGAGCAAAAATAACACTTATCCCTATTTGAAAGTTCAAGATTTTTGAGCTTTCGAAGAAAACAGCTTTCCCTTCACTCTGTTCCACTCACACTTCTGAGGATGGCCATGGGGCAAAAAGCCACGGCGGCGGGGTGCAAAAAGCCACGGCGGCGTGGGGGGCAAAAAGCCGCGGCGGCTGGGGCGCAAAAAGCCGCTGCGGGCAAATAACCGCGGCACGGGGCGGGGGCGGGGGGCGCAAAAAGCCGCATCGGCGGGGCGCAAAAAGCCGCGGTAGCGGGGGAACAAAAAGCCGCGGCAGCGGGGGAGCAAAAAGCCACGGCCGGCAAAAAGCCGCGGCGGCGGGCGGCAAAAAGCCGCGACGTCGGGGGACAAAAAGCCGCGGCGGGCATAAACCCGAGGCGGCGGGGGGGGGGGCAAAAAACCGCGGTGGGGAAAAAGCCGCGGCGGCGGGGGGCAAAAAGCCGGGTCGGGCAAAAAGCCGCGGAGGCAAAAAGCCGCGGCGGGCAGAAAGGCGTGGCGGCGGGGGGCAAAAAGCCGCGGCGGCGGGGGGCAAAAAGCCGCAGCGGGCAGAAAGGCATGGCGGCGGGGGGCAAAAAGCCGCGGCGGGCAGAAAGCCGCGGCGGGAGCGCAAAAAGCCGCGGCGGGAAAAAGCTACGGCGGCAGGGGTGCAAAAAGCCACGGCGGCGGGAGGGGGGGGCAAAAAGCCGGGTCGGGCAAAAAGCCGGGTCGGGCAAAAAGCCGCGGCGGCAGGGAACTAAAAGCCGTGGCAGGCATAAACCCAAGGCGGCGGGGGGGCAAAAAACCGCGGTGGGGAAAAAGCCGCGGCGGTGGGGGTGCAAAAAGCCGAGGCGCGCAAAAAGCCGCGGTGTTGGGGTGGGGGGGGGGTGGCAAAAAGCCGCGGCGGCGGAGAGCAAAAAGCTGCGGCGATGAGGGTCAAAAAGCCTCGGCGGCGGGGGGCAAAAAAGCCGCGGCGACACGGGGCAAAATAGTGGAGATGGGGTAGAAGGCCAGCACAGGTTGGCTTTGCTGGAGTGTGATGTGATAGGAAATGTGCAGCCAAAGACAAAAAAAGATGTAAGTAGGCTTGACTCATTGCAGCCAAGAACCCAGATGTTATCTTGAGGGTTTTAACTAATAAGCAGTTTAAATCAGAATGGCACATTCTGATTTGTTTTTTGTATATTCACATTTGGCAGGCATAGATACCGTTTGAAGAGAAAAAAGTCAGTAGATAGAGGTAACAAACTTAAATATGTGCCGAGTCTAGAAACAAGAGACTAGGGGGATAAGGACCTTTCGAAATAAAATGCAAGATTTGAAAACTGATTGGCTGGGGGATGAGGAAAAGGCAGGTCTTTAAGATCAATCCCTGTTTTGCTTTAAGTTGTTAGGGGGTGGTTTTATCACATATTGTAGAATACGTCATTTCAGTTTTGAACATCTTGAGTTAAATCGTCCTAACATATCTTATGAATTTGATTTTCTTCCCTGGGAAGCTAATATTTCAAACACTTAAAGAGTATATAGATTTCCAACTTGTATCCAATTTATAAAACTATCTCTAGGGCTGCTGATTTCAGGAGGAGGCTCATGAATATTCTATTTGCAGAGAATATATCAGGAGTTAATATCAGCGTCAATATTTGTGGACGACCAGTTAACTAAGCCACCTCTTAGTGTATTTAGATGGGAAATCTTAGCTGAAGATATTCAATAATGAACCAACAGTGACTAAAAAATTCAATATTTAAGTATATTTCATTGTAATTAATTTGAATTGAAGTAGCCATATACAGCTAGTATTTACTACATTGAACAATGCAAATAAGAGGAAAAAATTAATAACCATCTCTAATACCACATGCCAAAATCCTCATCAATTTATTCTAGCTAAAGGAGTTGATCAGAAGCAGCAGTTGAAAGCACCAACTAAACCAGCTGGGGTTAGTTCACTGTCATTCTCTCAGAACCATCTCTTCTCTGAACAAAACAAGTACAAGAATTCATTGTGAATCTGCATTCTCCTTGCCTGTTTTAAGGTTTTGATGTTGACACTAATTTGTGAAATCCCTCCTGTGGTGTGATATTTCGTTTTCCTTGCTTTTTGTTAGGACATGAATGCTTCAGCTCTTAATTTAAAATTATGTTTCTCCCTCCTAGGTTGAGTGAACTTAGAATGCATGCTCTGACATATCCAAGTTTTTGTTAATATGAATTTGGGGAAAAAAACATACTTAATTAGCTAAGACTTCTTATTCTAGGCTTGACCCTGTGTTCGACATCTATTGAATTTGTAGTTGCATGGGCTGCTCTCTGACACTGGTTACTGACCTGGAAGCTATATTAACGTTAGGGGAGGTGGTGTATGAGCATTAGAGGTATCCTTGCAAGGAAAGACTTGTCTTATCTCAATACGTCTTTTTTTTTGCACACAAGAAAGTCAGTGTTTTAGTCTTCTAAAATCTTCCTATTTCCAAGTTGCAGAGTACCATTGATTCCTAAACAAAGACCTAATTTTTGACTCAGAGACGTGGCAAGGTAGTGAATCACCATTATAATTTAACAATCTTCAAGATAAAATTATCTCTCTGATATTTAGCTTTTGCCCAATTATTAAGATATTTGGGTGTTTCGTTAAGAATGGAAGACTCTAGTCTCTTGAGCAGAGACTATAAAGGCCTCAGATGATCATTTTTACTTTTATGCTCTTTTCTTTAACACCTTCAACACAGTTGGAAGCAGCCGATATTCCCCAGAGTTGTTGTGTTTTTTAAACCAAATGCATGGTTCAGTGGTAGAAAACTGGGCTGATCCAAGCTGTTTTCAGTGAACACTTCATTTCAGGTGACCTATTTCATATTAAATAATCTCTAGATCCTGTCTTCAAAACTAACTAGATCAGATAACCTACCCTGGATTTTCTCCTTTTAGGGTCTGTGAGCTGCAGTCACTTTTGTGAAAATGATTGCAATGACGAGATAGAGTTGTAGATGGGGAAAATGTTTTGACTAATTTAAGCATAGTGGTATTTCATATGAGAATTTAAGTTACACACATTTGAAAATTATAATGGAGTCTCTTAGCTGAGCTTTAAAAAAAATAGTGTTTAGGCTAAACAGGGAACTGCTACCTCTCCTAAAATCAGAAAGATGTTACAGTAATTCTCCATTCTCTAGAATTATCAGGAAGCACCTTTGTGATGATTTACTTTTGTTCTTGGGAGTGTGAGCCCGTGTAGTCTTGGAACCATCAATTAGAATGATGGCTTTCTGATCCCAAAGTCATTCGTTCTGAAAACAATATTTTTCATAAATTTGAAAGTGAGAAGTTTTGATCTTGCCATTCCCAAGTAACTCTCTTAATAAGAGGCATCAGCATGCTTCAGTGACAGCTGTCACTTTCCAGTGCTGAGAGTCATCTTTGAGTTCTCCATTTCACTCCCTACACTCCAATTTAGCTGCAGTTCTCTTGGCCAGTCCTATGAAATACATCCATGGCCTAACGACTTCTCACCACTACTACCACTCATCGTGACAGCATTCTCACCTAAGTCACTACCTTTTTTCTCTGGATTAGAGTAGCCTCCCAATTTATTTGCTCACATAACCTATTTATTCTACACGGTGCACCAGATACACCCCTTTGAAATGCAAACACAATCATGTTATTCTCTGGTTAAATTATCTCATATATTCCTATCGCATTTAAAATTAATTCAGAATAATCCCCTGATTATCAAAAGCCTACATGCTCTTCCACAATATGGTTTACTTCCAAGATATCTCTTCAACTTTTTTTTCATTGTACTGAATTGGTGACTAATAATCATATTTTTATTTTTGCTCAAAAATCTTGACTTGTAAATTTTTCAGTTTCTCCTTTATCCACAGGTAACTCTTTCCTCATAAGGCGAATTGCTTGCTTCCTCGAGTCCTGCTCTCAAAGATAACCTTCATTTTCTACCTAATATTAATAACTTTAATCATTCATTATTCCATTACTATGCTCTATAGTGTATACAATTTCTGTTCTTTGTCATGTTATTAACTAAATTATTTATTTGTTCCAGTAACGTATTCCATAAATATTGTACACATAAAAATTATGTTATCTTTATTGCTGCATGCTCAGCTGCCCAATAACAGTCTGAGGATTAACATATTTGTTAAATGCACAAATACGTTCTTTCACAAATATTAGTTTAATAATTTTATATTAAACTCCCTCTATACTTACAATATGAATTAGATAATTGAGAATAAACATTCCAGTGGAAAAAACTAAACAATTTGTTGTAAAACATCCTTAAAAGCATCAGAAAGTTAATACAGCAATGAAGAATTACAGGACCAAATTAAGAATGGTATGGAAGCCTGTTTGTGAGGCTTATGTTTGGGTTATCTCTTTACTTAGAGAGACTATAAATCTCAAAAGAGGATTAAAGGGAGAAATAACCATATCAACTCACATGGTAAGAGTATTCAAACATCTCTTAGTAATGGAGAAAATTGAAAGAAAAGAAAAAAGAGAAAGGGAGAAAGAGAAACAGAGCGAAAGGGATAATGAAGGAGAGAAAGAAGAAGAGAAAGGAAGAGGAAGAAAAGTAAAAAGGAGGAGGAGGGAGAGGGAGGAAGAAAGAAAGGTGAAAAGAAAGAATGCTAAAGTTTTCAACAACATAATTTATCCTTCTAGAATATGAATGTTGGTCTATTTGATGATGTCCCACAGATTCCTTAGTCTCTGCTCATTTTTTATCTGTTTCTCGGAGTCAATAGTTTCCATTTTCTTATCTTCAAGCTCATGACTTCTTCTGTGTGTGCAAATATACTCTTAAATCCCTCTGGTGATTTTTAAATTTTTATCATTGTAGTTTTCCACTCCAGAATTTCTGCTATCTCTGTTGATATTCCTACTTTTTAATATTTTTTCTGAATCCTTTATTTCTTTGTTTATGTTTTCCTTGTGACATTTGAGTATAATTAAGAGAGTTGTTTTAAAGTCTTTGTCTAGTAAGTTTGAAGTCTGGGTTTCCTTAGAGATATTTTCTGTCAGTTTGTTTTGTTCCTTTGAATGAGCCATAATTTTCCGTTCTTTGTATGCCTTGTAACTTTTTTTGAAAACTGGGCATTATAATAATTATAATTACTATGTGGTTACTCTGTAAATCAGACCCTCCCCCACAAACACAGTAATGTTTTGGGGTTTTAAATTTTCTTTACTTATAATATTGTTAAGGATTTTTTTTTTAGTGAAATTTTCCAAAGTGATTTACAAAACTGTTTGCTTTATAAGGTGTGGTCACCGAAGTCTTTTTGTTTCCTTAACAAATGTTAAGCTAATGTTTTGACAGTGATTTTCTTGTATGTCAGGAAGTAAGCAAACAGGCAAATACAACAAAAACAAAAAGAAAAAAAGTAATCATTGTCCAGCAAAATATGTCTCTAGGCCATGCAGACTGGCTTTGTGCTGGGTTCTTTAAAGCCGGGACAAAGTGTGTGTTCACTCTTGCGCTGAGTGAAGTTCAAGTTCACCCTTGCACATAGCTTGCACTGAGGGGAGGGATCGGCCAAGGTAAAAGCGTAGGGTCTTCTTATGACATTTGTCAGCATGTGGCTTAACCTATGCATACAAGTGACTTTCTAGACTCTCCCATGTACGTGAATGATTTTGAATGTCTTAGTTTTCCAAATACTCTTCTCCAACTTTTCTTCCTGTGCTGAAGGTGATCTACTATATGTGTAAACTCTAATTTTTGCCCTAAGCATCTGTGGTTTGTTAGGTCTCCTTGCAGAGTTTCTTGATAATGTCCATTCCTTATCTGTTCTGTATTCTAGCAACACAGAAAAACAAAAGCCTTTCATGAGTCCTTTAGGTATCCCCCAGACCAGTCAGAACAGACACATAGTAATTGGCGGGTAAGATCTTCTCTTGTTCCTTTGGACCATGGACCAGTGTTCCTCACTGGGAACGTGGGCTTCTGACACTTCAAAACTGCCAATTTGCTGGGGCAAAGGCAAGTTAAAAATGTCATAAAGTTTTCAAGTTGCCTTTTTCTTGAGTCTGCTTTCACTCAGTTGTTGTAATCTTTTGACTATTTTCCAGAGTTTTGGCAAAGTTTATTCGGACAGTTTCTCTTAGTTGTGTGATGTTTCTGTGGGGAAATGAAAGATTGCAGCTGTCTCCACTGACATTTTGCTGATGCTCCTCTTTTGTCAATTTTTGCTTCATGTTATTATGCTTTGTTATTAGTTCATGTATTAGTTTTCTAGGGCTGCCATAACCAAGTAACACAAACTGGGTGCCATGAACAACATACATTTATAGTCTTATAGTCCTGGAAGCTAAAATTCTGAGATTGAGGAGTCAGGAGGGATGGTCCCTTCAAGGGCTATGAGAGAAAGCCTGTTCTATGCCTTGTTTCTCACTTCTGATGGTTTAGTGGCAGTCTTTGGCATTCCTTGGCTAATCTCTGCCCTCATAATCACATGGTACTCTCCCTGTGTGTATGTCTCCCTCTACTCAAATTTCTTCTTTTAATAAGGACATCAGTCATACTGAATTCAGGCGCATCTGATTGTATCTTAACTTGATCAGCTGCAAAGAACCTATTTCTTAATGAGGTCATATTCAGTGGTTAGAATTTCAACATCTATATAGAGGAAACAATTTAGCTTATATCTGTGCATACATGATTGTAATAGCTATGTCTTCCTAAAGCGTTGACCCCCTTTTTACTACAATATAAATTTTTAAAATCCTATTCACATTTTTAATAGTCTATATTGTGTGTTATGAGTATAATGAGTTCAGTGTTCTTATGATTGCTCTTTGCATGATATTTTTTGTCATCTTTTTACTTTCAATCCATTAGTATCCTTGCATCTCGGCGTATATTGGGATCACTTGTTTTAATCCAGTCTGACAATCTCTGCCTCTGGAATGGATTTTAATCTGCTCACATTTAAGATTATAATTGGTATAATTCTATTTATGTCTGCCATTTTACCGTTTGTTTTATATATTTCTCAAATATTTTTCTTTATTGCTTTATTTTGCAATGAAAGAATATTTTCTAAACTAGGGAACTTTAGATTACTAATGAATTATTTTATTATATATGTTTGAGAATTTCTGTTGTTGTTGTAAGTTTACCATATAGGTATATGGAAAATTAATTATTCAAATCATCTTCCAATTTATACTAGTAAACTTTTAGTAATACATAGAAACATCATTCTTATATAAATCTCTTTTATTTCCTCCATTTTAAAGTATTATCACTTTACACATTACATCTATTAAAGTTACAAAGCCAACAATACATTTTAGTAATTATTACTTTACCATCTAGAGTGATTACCTTATCACAATACATTTTTCTTCCAACTACCTCCTTTTTGATGTTACTGGAAAATATGTTATAGACGTATTACATTTCTACATGTCAAAAACTCAGCAATACATTATGCACATATTATTATTATTATCATTGAGACGGAGTCTCCCTCTGTCACCCAGGCTGGAGTGCAGTGGCACAATCTCCGCTCACTGCAAGCTCCATTTCCCAGCTTCATGCCATTTTTCTGCTTCAGCCTCCCGAGTAACTGGGACTAAAGGCGCCCGCCATCACGCCCGGCTCATTTTTTGTATTTTAAGTGGAAACGGGGTTTCACTGTGTTAGCCAGGATGGTCTCGATCTCCTGGCCTCGTAATATGCCCGCCTTGGCCTCCCAAAGTGCTCAGATGACAGGTGTGAGCCATCGTGCCCGGCCATTATACACATGTTATTTAATAAACAATTTATGATAAAGAGAAAAAATGCATTTTTACTGTCTTTTATAATGTCAGTATTACCTATACCAGTGCTTTTTTAAAAATGTGGATTCAAGTGACTGTCTTCTGTAACTTGCTTTTAGCCTTAGGAATTTATTTTAGAGTTTTTTTTAATGTGGTAGGCCTGCCAGCAACAACTTCAGTTAATATTTCTGTTTATCTGGGTAAGTCTTTGTGTTATCTTCGTTTTTGAAAAATAATTGCTGGATAAGGAATTCGTGGCTGAGAGTTTTTTTTCCTTTGCATCTTTTGAATATATTATTCTACTGCCTCTTGCCTTCCATTGTTTATCTTAAGTCAGCTGTTAATCTTACAAAACATAGGTGCTCAAAAAATAAACGTGCATGAATATTTACAGCAGTAATATTCATACAGTCAAAAAGTGGAAACAATCCATATGCTTGTTGACTCATAAACGGACACCCAATTTTCAGCTATAACAAAGAATGAAGTACTTATATATGTTATAATATGGGTGAAATTTGAAAGCATTATGTTAAGTGCACAAAAGTACAAATATTACTTGATTTTATTCACATGAAACATCAGGAATTGGCAAATCAATTGGGATATAAATTAGATTAGTGGTCATTAGGGCTCAGGGAAGCAGAATAGGGTGTAACAACTTTATGCATAATGGGTTTTTGGAAGGGACATGATGAAATTGCCCTGGAACATTGTGAATATACTAAAAGCAAGTGCATTGTATGCTTTAAAATGGTTGTTATTAATTTTATATTATGTGATTTTTACCTTAAAAAAAGAGAAAATAGCCTTACTCTATACATAATAAACTCAAGATATGTTACAAATTTACATGTGAAATTCCAAAATACTATAATATTTAAGGAATAGCTAAGTAGAATAACACTGAAATTTAACATAATGAAACATTTCCTTAAAAAAGAAAAAAGCACAGTAATTAAAAAGGGAAATATATTTAATATTTTTTCTCTCCATTAAGCATGCCATTAACTGAGTAAAAAATCAAGCTGCAATTATCTAAACTACATTTTCTAAAACCATAAAGAAAAGAAGAAATAAAAAGGTATTTGGGAAAAAAATCCAAAGGTACAGTCAACTACACAAAAAAAGCTTAGTCTCATTTATCATTATGAAAATGCAAATGGCAACTGAAAGAAGATAAAACTACAATTCAAAGAGAAAGCCTAAAATTTCAACCCCCCAAAAAGTCTGGGTTTTGGAGATCTGGGATGGAATAGGGTTCCTAACCTGACAACAATGAAAGAACCAAACTAACTGACTTCAAAGTCATGACTCTATTTTTATAGCAATGAGGTTGCCAAGAACTGAGTCAAAATGTGAGGGAAAACAAGCACCTGCAAGGAGAAAGAGGACAGATGCACTTACATAGGACAGATGCAAATAGACACCACGATGACAAGTAAAGCTGGAATAATCAATAAATTCCTAAAGACAAAGTGGGGCTGGTGAGATTGGGAGACCGCTGACAGCTGCAGAAGTTGGGAAAGATCCATCATCTTGAAAACGTTTTCCTCACAAACCCACTGTGATCTCTCAGGCAATTGGTAAGGAATCCAAGAGAGTCTGTATATGACACAGATCAGGGAGAGCAGAACACTTGGGAGGTGACCAGGTCTTGGGGGCCGAGCCCATATGAATGGGATTAGTGCCTTTATAAAAGAAGCTCAATGGAGTTCTTGTGTGCCTTCCACTGTCTGAGGACATAGAAAGAAGGCACCATCTATGAACCATGAAATGGGCTCTCATCAACACTGAATTTGTGAGCATCTTGACCTGAGATCTTACAGCCTCAAGAAGTGTGAAAAAAGAAATATCTGTTGTTTTTTAGTCACCCAGTTTATGTTATTTTGTTATAAGAGTCCAAATAGACCAAGATATTCCACTTAATATGTAGGGGAAGGCAACAAAAACTGCCACACTTAGAATACTCCTGATGCTGGGAGTATGAAAACAGGAAAAACAAAACAAAACTGCTCTTGAAGGTGAAGGAGGAATATCACTGAGCTCACCAACACAGCCAGGAAAAGAACAGAAGTGTGAGAAGGCTACATTCCTGAGACCCTGAGAAAAAGTACCTGCATAAGACTGAGTGAAATTACCTACTCTAGTTATGATTGAAATCCCAAAAAGAAAAGAGGAAAAAATAATGGAGCAAAAGAAATATATTTCAAAATAACTGCCAAAAATATTCTAAAAGAAGTGACAGAAAATCAAACTTCAGATATAGGAAACTCAGAGAATGTCAAATAGAACAAAAAGAAATAAGAATTCCATCTTGAAAAATCTTTAAAAAATCAAGTCTAAATTTTATATCTTGCTCCAAATATATAGAGATAGAAATAGGTTATCATCAAGATATGGAGAAAGCCATATCATGGAAACACTGAAATAAAGCTGTGGAAGGACTACATTGATATTAGACACAACAGAGTTCAGAACAAGAAATAGTATCAGAGATGAGAGATAATAGATAATAGAATAATCAATTCTCAAGAAGATGTAAACATCCTACTAATTAGGGTATGCAGCTAACAACAGAGCCTCCAAATACATGAGGTAAAACAGGAAAGAAATCAAAGGTGAACTAGAAAAACCCAAAATTATATTTGCAGACTTCAACACTTTTGTCTTAGTAATGGACAGACTAGGCACAAACTCAGTAATCATGTGGAAGATAAGAACAACAATATCACCAACAAGACATCCAATCTTCAATGGCAGATACTCTTTCCTTTCAAGTGAAAAAAAAAACAGTATGGCATATTCTCTAACAAACACAGAATTTCTAATATTTGCGGTCTTCCTTCCTTCTTTCCATCTTCCTTTGTCTTCTCTTCCCTTCCCTTGCCTTCTTCCTTCCTTTCTTCTTTTCCTCTTCCTTTTCTTTTTTCTTTTCCTTTCTTTCTTTTCTTTCTTTTTTTCTCCTTCCTTCCTTCTTTCCTTCTTTCTTTCCTCTTATTCTTCCTTCCCTCCTCCCTCCCTTCCTTTCTCCCTCCCTTTTCTTCCTTCTTTTCTCGTATTCTTTCTTTCTTTCTCACGTTCTTGTTTTCTTTCCTTTTTTCTCCCTTCCTCCCGCCCTCCTTTTCTTCCTTCCTCCCTCCCTTCCTTTCCTCTTTCTCCTTCCTTCCTTCCTTCCTTCACCTCTTTATTTTCTTTGTTTCTTTGCCTTCCTCCATTTTACCATTCTCTCTTCCTCCTTTTCTTCCTCACTTCTTCCTTTCTTTCTTTCTCTTTCTTTCTTCTTTCCTTCCTTCTTTCTTTCTTGTGTTCATGTTTTCTTTTTTCTCCCTTCCTGCCTTTCTCCCTTCCTGCCTTTCTCCCTTCCTTCCCTCATTTCCTCCTTCTTTTCTTTCTTCTTTCTTTCTTTATTTCCTTCCTTCCTTCTTTCCTTCCTTCTTTTTCTTTCTTTGTTTTCTTTTCTTTCTTTCTCTTTACTACAATTCATATTATTTTTAAAAAATTAAGAGAGGGAGACAGAAAAATAAAGAACGCTTTAATCTTCAGGTAAATAGATTATGTCTGCTGTAGGCAAAAGAATGGCCTCCCAAAAATTTTCATGTCCCAATTCCCAGAGTCTAACATACAAATATGTTAGATTTCACGGCAGTGTGAAATTGGATTTCAAGTGAAATTACGGTTGCGGAAAAATGATAGAGAGATTGTCTTAAATGGCTGGGATCAATGAAATCACAAACATCCTTATAAGTGAAAGAAGAAGACAGAAGAAAGGCAACCTTGGAGGTGGTGGCATGAGAAATTACTCAACATCACTGACTTTTAAGATACAAGAATGAGGACCCAGCGCGGTGGCTCACGCCTAATCCCAGCACTTTGGGAGGTTGGGGTGGGTGGATCACGAGGTCAGGAGATCGAGACCATCCTGGGTAACATGGTGAAACCCCATCCCTACTAAAAATACAAAAAATTAACTGGGCATGGTGTCAAGTGCCTGTAGTCCAAGCTACTCAGGAAGCTGAGGCAGAAGAATCACTTGAACCCGGGAGGCAGAGGTTGCAGTGAGCTGAGATCATGCCACTGCACTCCAGCCTGGGTGA
Organism: Homo sapiens; assembly: GCF_000001405.40. NCBI lineage: Eukaryota > Metazoa > Chordata > Mammalia > Primates > Hominidae > Homo > Homo sapiens. Next base: position 21,454 of record NT_187502.1, read on the forward strand.
CAGAAGGAGACTCCATCTCAAAAAAAAAAAAAAAGAAAAATAGGATATAAGAATGAGGTCATGTTCCAAGGAATAAAGGTGGCCTCTGGATGCTGAAAAAAATCAAGTAATAGATTCTGCCACATAGCCCTCAGAAAGACTGCAGCCCTGCCCAAAACTTGATGTTAGCCCTGTGAGTTTCATTCAAGTCTTCTGAACTACAGAACTGTAGGATTAACGGTCACTTTATTGTAAGATATGAAGTTTGTGGTAATTGGTTACAGCAGCAAGAGGAAGTTTATATTGTAATTGTATCATGAAAATGAGAACCATAATTTACAACTGCTTTTAATACTGCACTTGGATGTTTGAAATCACGTACATGGAAATGATCTCTATGTGCATGAGGGAGGATAGCAAATTGATGCCAAAATAATGCAAATGCAAATCTTACACTCATTTCTATGTAGGTTTCATTTAATCTTTGAAATTAAAATGAAATGAAAAGATTGTGATATTTTGATGAAATTAGACTAAAATGAACAATAACAAAATAAGAACTCACTTATATTCTTTATATGGTCAATAAAGAAGTGATAGTGGAAAAAAACAAGATCAAATGAAGGTGATGATTTAGGAAGTTGGAAAGATACCTGAAACTACAAAATGGTATATAACCAGTGAACACTTAGACACACTGATTGATGAACTTCAGCTTTTGGCTTGGTGAGAGCATAAAATGAGAGCAGCTGAGGTTTGCAAATTTGTAATCTCCTTGTGGAAAAACAGGGGAAAACACATCTCAGCCTAATAAAATTTATCTACTAAAGAGTCTAGACTTGATCCATTTGTCCTTGTAATTCAAAAGCTAATTCAAATACTGATTTGATCTATTGTGTGAACAACCATTGCTGATTATCATCGCACACCTGGCATTCCCTTTTATCTGATATCTAAAATATTTGGTAATTCCTGGACTTTCTCTTTTCAAACCCAGTACAGTTTAATTTGAGTCTTAGAACAGTTGTCTTTGAGAAATTCTTCCCTCTACTGCATCTGTGAATGGGCATAGCATGGTTACATACATACTGTCACTCCATAGAACATTTGTTAAATTAAAGCCAAAGTTTAAAGCAAGAGCTTTAACTTACTGGTTTTACTAATGTTTTCCTCCCCAATAGCCACAACAATATTGATACCCTCACACCTTTTAACATAAAGCTTGGTGTTGTCTATTTTTCAGGTGCTGTCATCTATATGATCTCAGTATTTTAAAAATCAGCTTCCAGCCCATATGGTGGCTTATGCTTGTAATACCAGCAGTTGAAGAGGCTGAAATGAGAGGATTCCTTGAGCCCAGGAGTTCAAAAGCAACCTGGGCAACATAGAAAGACCCAGTCTCTATCAAAAGTTAAAAAAAAAAATTTGGCATGGTGATGTGCACCTGTTGTCCTAGCTATTTGGGAGGCCAAGGTGGAAGGATTGCTTGAGCTTGGGAGGCTGAGGCTGCAGTGAGCAGTGATTGCACCACTGCAATCCAGCCTGGGCAACAAAGCAAGACCCTATCTCAAAAAATATATATAATAAAAATAAAAATCAGCTCTCATTTAGATTTCTATGTAAATATGCACAGGTGATGTCCATATAGACATAAATAATATTTCTGAAGATGGGACCATATGATCTTCAAAATGTAAAATGCCTATCTGTGTAATTGACTGGTTAGTCTCATTAATGAATATAGATTCAATTCTACTTTCTTGTTCTAGATAAATTATATAATCTAGCTTTTCATTTCACTTATTTACTGATAACAACGGAAGAATGACAAGATATCTATTTTGGAAAATTACTCTGGTAGGAATAAAGATGAAACAATGATAGAATTGCATGGAAAACTAGAAAAAATTATGGTCTTCTGATATTCTATCACATCACATACTAAAGGCCTCATAAAACTCAGATATTTTATCTAAAAATGTTATTTTCATCATAGGAATGATCAAAGCATGAGACTACAATTGTATGAAAATGTGCTTGTATCACAAGCACAGGTGCTAAAAAGGAGGGGAAAACATCATTACTGATATTTTCAATGTATGTTTTACTTTTCATCAACATGAACCTCAACTTGATATGATGCAGATTGAAGGAAATCACCCATAATTCCATATGAAGAAGGCCTGTGATATTTTATGGGAAAATAAATAGAGAAAATGCTAACAGAAACTCTATTAAGCATGAAGCTTTATGGAGCAAACACAAATCCAGTGGTGAAAGATACACACTCGAGTTCTGTTTGTTGTCTTGGAACAATACGGTTTAGAGGTGACTGGAGGGTGAGGAGAACATATGCGAGTTCACCAAAGAGAAAAGCTGAATGAGGCAATGCCTCTTCCTGACCATATCTCTTATCCAGATAACTATATAATTTATTGTCCAGTAAAGGGTATATTAAAAAATCATATTAAAAGTCATGCAGTGAAGTTGTCCAGGGAAATCAAGACTTAACAGTCTCACTCTGACAATAATGAACAGGGGGATTCCCTCAAGATAGACTAGGACATGACCCCACACTGGCAGGTAGTAGTACCAGAAAAGAACCCATGGAAAATCTTTACCTTATGCTTGAGGTAAGGACCAGGCTAAAGTGAAAGCCAGACATAAAATTCTATCTAAAATAAATCCACAATCGAAGAAAATATGTGGTGTACAGGCATAGAATGTCTTTACTGGATCATTGAAATAGTAAGATAAATTCAACTTTTACATTGTTTTCTTTTCCTCCAGTTAGGGCTTGAGGTTTGTCTCTGGAGAGTGACCGTCAATTGGAGCCCTGCCTTTCTGGGGTTCTGGTCAGGGGGTTGTGGATGCTTAACATGTGCCTTTCACAGGACAATTCCTTACTCCAGCAGTGGCCAGGTGTGCATCCCACGACCAGGCCTCCCTCTCACAGAACATCTGTTGAGACTAGGAGATGCCTGGTGACTGTTGCCTGACCTGTGTCCTGTGTATTTCTGACAAGAGCCACTCTCAGAGACCCTGGCCAGGAGGAGAGTTATGTTCCAGTGTAGGTCAGCTCAGACACATGGAGGCCACAGAACCAAACATGGGAAATCACAGAAGTAGGTTTATTACTCACAGATCCAGAGAGAGGAGGGTAGCTGAGAAGAGGGTTTAGCTGTGTCCCCAGCCAAATCTCATCTTGAATTCCCACATGTTGTGGGAGGGAGCAGGTGGGAGGTAATTGAATCATGGGGGCAGGTCTTTCCCATGCTGTTCTTCTGATAGTGAATAAGTCTCACAAGATCTGATGGTTTTATAAAGAGGAGTTTCCCTGCACAAGCTCTCTTGTCTTGTCTGCTGCCATGTGAGACGTGCCTTTCACCTTGTGCCATGATTGTGAGGCCTACCCAGCCATGTGGAACTGTGAGTGTATTAAACCTCTTTCTTCTAGAAATTACCCAGTCTTGGGCATGTCTTTACCAGTGGTGTGAAAATGGACTAATACAGTAGCACACCTCATAGGGTTGAACAAAATGGGGAAGATGAGTCGGGAGCAGGAGAGAGAAAAGGGGTCTGTGGGACTCTAGCTTTTATTGGGCCCAGAACATTACCCAAATAAGTTTTCCACAGGGCACTACTTGGTGGGGTGAGTGCCAGCAGGCACATTTCTTGACTCCCGCTGTAACCAAGCAGGTCACTCTGGCGTGTGGGGGCTGTCCATGTGCGCTGTGAGGTCTCTGGGGTGAGTCAAGTAGGTTGTATCCAACGGTTCCATAGCTGGTAGTCACCAGGAGGAGGCAACTGTGTAGGGTCAATATCTGGGCCAGCCACACTGAGGAACTGTGAGGGTTAGAACTGGAAATTGTCAAGGGAATCTGAACCCAGCTACCATATGAGAGAGTTCAACTTATGTTCAATGTGAATGCCATGGCAATATTAAAAGGTAAGAATTCGCTCCATACGTGCTTGAGGTAAATAGGAGAAACCTAGAATTTATGTAAACAGTGAGAAGATTGGATGCCTTTTCCGTCACATATTTTAATACTAGCAGCATATTATATATGTGAATCCATCAGGCATTCAGAAATACATGCTTATGAAAACTTTTTGCACCATCAGACAAAAGACAAGGGTAGAAGACATTTGTAACCCTATAAACACTAGTAAATTAAAAACAGAAAGACCGTTCTGTCCTAACATATCTGCGTTGTGAAAGGCTGCCCTGTGAAATACGGGATTTCTTAAACATATTTTAAAAATCATAGGTGTCAATATTTTTTAGAAATCCATTTAAATTTTCTCTTGCTATTTTACAATGCCTATTTATTTATTTAGTGGCTCTGCTGATTTTGAAGTATATCCTAAACTTTATATTTTCTTTAAAGGATGTTTTATACAACTTTATGTAAAATGTTTCAATATCTTCACATTCTCTCCCTGTCCTTTTGTTTTACTCTTATATGGTGGTCTTGAGTCTTTTCTCTGGCTTTCCAAACCTAGTAAGACTAAGACACTAAAGTAACTTTGCCCGTGGTTTGGTAATGCCTTCTAAAGCACATCCTAAGCTCTCGTGCATACAGGGGTCTCCTTTGAGCTCTGTGCTTTTGAGATCCCATATGCCTAAATTCCAGTACTCCAAATCAGTACTGCTCAGTTTTAGTTACTAAGTTTAAAAATGTATTTTAATAGCAAGTTAGTTTAGTGCACTCTTGCTTCTTTCTTGACTGCTTGTATACATGTATATTCCTTTAAATGAATCTTGGAATTTATTTAAAAATTTTAAATTATACTAATGAAACTGTATATTGTTGTGAATTCATAATTGAATTTGGAAAGAATTTGTCTTTATGATACTAAATCCTTTTTATCCAAGAATCATATGTGTCTTTATATTTATTCCAGTCTATATTTATATCACTGAGTAAATATATAGAAATGTAGATACATACAGCTGTAGTTATAGATACAAATATAGATATAAACTATTAAATCTATATCTATCCCATATAACATATATACATGTTATATGTGTGTGTGTGTGTATATATATATATATAAGTTTATGTTATTAAAGAGCTCCCTTAAAATTTTTCTTTTATTTCCTATATAATTTTAGGTCGAGCCTGAATTTTCCTTGTATAAACAAGCAAATATTTATACTAGTTTTAATACTGATGTTTAGACATTGTATCTTATTTTAGCATTGAATATTTTCACAATTATTATAAATATTATCTAATATTAATAATGTACCTGTTAAAAATATTTAAAATTTTACCTTTGAATTATTTTATTGTTGAATTAAAATTCCTTTAATATGATAGTAAATTTCTATTTTATGCTTTCTCTATGCATATGCAAATTAATCTATCCACTTCTCTATCTCTATGTAGTAACATATGAAAATCAGGCCTCTATTCTTCTAATGGACATACACATGTTTGCATATAGAATATCAGACTCTTTATAGCATTTAAAATCTTTAAAGACATGAATATTGCCTTTTCACTAATATATTTTAGCATGTACTGAGAATCCCCTATTTATTTTTAATTTGGGCTAATCAATATGATTGTTAATATTAGCGGATTACCAAATTTGGAAACACACTTTCATCCCCAAGGTGGATATATTTTTTTTTTTTTTTGCCAATTTCTTGTCTTACTCTTTCAAATATTGTTGGATATTATTTTTATTTTATTTGGCATTTTAGTATCAACATTTGTAATTGATGTACTCTACATATTTTTTCTTCAATATCTGGTGGGTTTTATAATTACTGCTATATTGGATTTGTAGTAGACATTGACAAAAATTATTCCTGTATGTTTTATAGCTGTATGAAGGAAACTAATATATTTTACCCCTAAATATATTTCCTTGATATATTTCAAAATGGCTATTGAGAAGGGCTGGAAATGCAAACTTAGCTGCGAAGGTGTCTTGGGGAGATTTGCATCGGTAGAGAATCTGCCTTGATGCAGCCAGGCTTTCTCTGAGGTCTGCCCCATTGTCTGGATCTAGGAAAGGTTAACTGAGAGTCTGAGGTCTCCAAAGGTCTGAAAGAAACATTTTCTGTCTATTCTCTCTGAGGACTGCTCCCAGTGAGGTTCCACCTATGTAACAAGCCCACTGTTGCTAGCCAGGGTCGTTTTCTCACATAACCTTTTTTTTTTTTCCCTGTGATCCAAGAACCCATTCTTTCTGTAAACTTCATGTGGTAGATAAGCTTCTGCACGCATCGTGTGTCTGGGTCTTCGTTCTAAGGTCTCCAGTGTACACACATTGCAGAAACCTGTATGCCTTTTCTACTATTTATCTGCCTCCTATTAGTGATTTTCAGGGAAACTTCAGAAGGCAAAAGGGACATTCTCCTTTAGCCCATTCTCAGACAAAATCCCCCAACATTTAACTGATTCCTAATAGCTTAAAATCACTTTGAAAAATCCATATATTTATAACCTTTTCTTCCCTCTATGATTTCTGGTCAGCTTGGGTTTTGTTTTTCATTCCATTTACTTCATCCTCGAAAAGATCTATTTTACATCTATTTATTCTCATTTATGGACATTGAGAAAAGAAAATAACTTTCATGTGAGAAATGCAAGTCCTTTTAAATAATCAGGCCCAGAGAGATATTCAAATGAGACAGCAGTTCTGTCCTGCTCCTCTTTGAGCTGTGTGTTCATCTAGGCTGCTTGCTGTTGCCACAGTAGCTATAAATTAACCAATAACGCCACACCAGACTCTATAATCCACACCCAATAATAGTGTAACAGTGTATAGCCAGTCACTAATAAATGTTATTTCCATAAGCCAATGAGAATTTGTGACAAACCTCTTTGCATCATCCCACTTCTGGACCCTTTTTTGCCTTTAAGAAACTGCTTGTTGCAAAGCTCCAAAGGGAGTTCATATCTAAGGATACTTGGGTCTGTTTCTTCCAGGCAGCTGTCCTCATTTTGGCTCAAGTAAACTCTTTGAATTATGTTTTGTGCTTCAGCACCTTCCACTTAGATTAACAACATGGATTTGTGTCACCATGTACGGCAATTAAAATGTTCACACTTTTCCCCTCGAGGGCACTGATGTGTTTTCCTGAGCACTTGGAATAGCTACGTAGTGTTTACTGTCTAGATTATGGTTTCTCAACCTTGGTGCTACTTGCCTTTAGGACCAGAGGATTCTTTGTTGTGGGAGGCTGCCCTAGCAATGCTAGGTGTTTCGTTTGACCTCTAAATTTCACACCTCCACCAGTCTTGACATCCCCACAATAACCCTAGACATTGACAAATGTCTCCTGGGGAAAACTCTCCACCAGTTGACAGGCAAAGTTCTGGAAATATTGGAATTGTCAATTGAGATTTTATGTTATCCAAAACAAATATTTTTCTTTGTTTTTAAACATCTAATTCCATCTACTTATCTACTTATTTTTACTTTTATTGGTAACTTAATTCCGTCAAGGAGAGAGAGTGCATTTTCTGTTATGCTAAATTTTTGAAGAATGTATTGACTTTTTATGACCTGATATATGGATGATACGTAGATATTACATGTTTGTATTATCAAATTTCAGGGCGATAATAAAATAAATACTTATAATATTTATATTGTCACTGTATATTAGTTATTTTCTTTCTTCACTACAGGAGTTTTTCAACCTATAGGCTATTTTTCAATTCTAGGTTATCCAGTAGATTTTGAAATGTTATGATTAAATATCTACTTCTCAAGCATTCATCTTTGCAAATAAAACAATCCCAAGCTCTCATAATGCACATCATATAAAGGGCAGATTAGTCAACATATGGTTCAGAAATAATTATGTAATATTTATAATAAAATTAAAAATGTAGATCCTTAACTCAGATAACAATAATCCAAATTAAAATTTGATTTCATTACATAATTTAAAATGACACCAGAATACTAGTAAAAATGTAGATAAGTTTATATAATCTTTTTTAGCTGTAGGACTTTATTAGCATAAATTCAAATACAGAAACCAAAGTAAGATTGAGACCTCTAGTCAAAGGTTAAAATGTACACATTATAGGGGCATGATTAAACTAATTTAAAGCATAATAACATGGAGAAATATTGCAAAACCTACATTTTACTGAATTAATTGTTTAATCATTATGTGAGAACCAAATTAAAGAGTAGCTACACACGCACACACCCACACACAAGTGCAATATTCTCAAATAAACGATGTTCAGCTACACTAGAAATCACACCTGTGTTTTCTCCACAGAAAAGATTAAAAATCACAATAATATTTATTGTACATATGGAGGTAAAGATACTCAAAATATTACCCTAAAATACATTTTTTTTTGAGATGGAGTTTTGCTTTTATTGCCCAGGCTAGAGTGCAATGGCACAATCTTGGCTCACTGCAACCTCAGCCTCCCAGGGTCAAGTAATTCTCCTAGCTCAGCCTCCCAAGTAGCTGAGATTACAGGCATGTGCCACCACAATCGGCTAATTTTTTGTATTTAGTAGAGACGGGGTTTCACCATGTTGGTCAGGCTGGTATCCAACTCCTGACTTCAGGTGATCTACCCACTTCAGCCTCCGAAAGTGCTGGGATTACAGGCGTGCGCCTGGGCAACTTTTTGACATATTTCAAGATGGCTACTCGGAAGACTGGAGATAGCATCTTCTACAAGACTAGCTGAAAAGCTGTGTTTGTTGGGGAGATTTGCATTTGTAGAGAAAATCTGCAGTGATATAGACAGGCTTTCCCTGAGATACTCCCTTGTCTGGGTTTAGGAAAGATTAACTGAGCCTGGCACGTTTAGATTTCTAAAAACCATTTCCTATCTATACTTCCCAAGAGGAGGGCTGCTCCCTTTGAGGTTTCATCCATGTAACAAGACCACCTCTGCTGCCAGGCTCCTCTTTCTTCCTTGCCGTCACCTGTCTTCCGCAAAGCCTGATTTACCAACCTACAGCTCTGTGTTTTCTGTAACCTCAAGACAGCATAGGCGTGTTGACTACCTTGCCTTTCCTGGAGTTTTTATATATATAGTATATATTTGTATATCTATTTATAATATACAAATGTTTGTATAGATATATTTATATATATTATGTAAACTCCAAGTGCATACTTGTGCACATATCTGTAAACCTTTTTTCCTGTTAATTTGTACATTATCAGTTTGTTTTATAGACTCAAATAATTAAAGCTTCAAGGGAAAAATTTAAACTTTCCTATAGAGAAAAGACAAATATATAGGTGACAAATAATATTTAGAGTGTAAGACGCTTTTTAAAGGTATATTTGCAATTTGTGTCAAAAAATTTAAATATACATTTGTTATTTTAACTATAAAATTTCAAATAACTTAAGCCAAATACATAGTATATGCAGAAAATTTAGCAATATGTCTATGTAGCACCTTACTGTGCATTACTGTAACCAGCCGTCTAATATAAAGAATTAATTAAGGTAGCACCTACTTTTCAAATAGCGCATTTTTTCACAGACCTATTAAATAAGGCAAATAACATTTAAACTTTATTTTTAAATTTGCAGAATAGTAGTTTTCAGCAGATGGTTTATTTTAGCAAATTCCATCTTCACATTGTGCTATGCTTTTATGAGTTCCAGCTGTTAACGGATAATTTTTTACTGCTGAAACTATCATGTGTGATATAATTGCTCATTATGTGCCTTAAAACACAAGCAATATAATTACTTACAACTTGGAGCAAATTAAAATCTTATCAGCAATTTAAAAACTCTAGAGTCGTCTTTTTCTGGTTAATTATTTTAAACTTGTATTTTTCTCTTTATGTTTTTAGTGAGTTGTCTTATCAAGGAGAAGAACTCAAGCTGATTATTCCTTTTTTCTCTTCCATCCACCTCGCAGGTGTGTTAATAATTTCATTTCTCAGAAAATGTTCTTTCATATCCATCTTACAAGATGAGAGACCTTTTAACATCTTCCATTCGGATGTGATACCAGTAATGGAAAATATTCCAGCTTCATGAATATGGTGATACAAATAGTTATCCGTCTAACTTCTTTCAGTGCCAAATGTTTACTTTACTCAGTGAATTACTCAGTTGACTGGTAATTTCTTCTGAAATCACTAATGAGAGGATCAGAGGTCTGGCTGTTGTCTGTGCCTCATATGACTCCCAGTGCAGACAATTGTTTCTATGGAGCACAGACAGTTGAAAGGATTGACTTCCTGCCTAGAATAGTTTCTGCTGTGCTTCTTGTCCTTCTTGTGGAGATTTCAGATTATCTGAATTGCTTTTCTATCTTGAGAAAAAACGCAACAATTCTCCCAACTGAGAGGAATGTAAACTGTAGTAAGTTAGCTGAACCAATCCGTAAAATTTTTACATTGTTTGTTGCAAAATGCAGCGCTGGTGTCTCCATCACTAACCTTTTCTATCCCTCATTGCTCTTTCTTTGACTGCACTAGGATACCTCTAGGCAAATCTGTATTCCCTAGACAGAGTGCCTTTTTGGTGAGCTATAAGCACACTCAATGGTAGGCTGAAATACTAGCTTTTATCTATGGCGAAATGGAATCATATCAGTGATTTTTTTAAAAAGGAAATTTAACTCTTGCTATGGTTTGAATGCTTGCCCCTTCCAATCTCATGTTAAAATTTGATCCCCAATGTTGCAGGTGGGGCTTACTGGGAGGTGTTTGGTCATGGGGTTGGACCTTCATGAATGGATAATACCCTCCCTTAGAAATCTAAAGCTATCCTCCCGTATGTTACACTGCTGCATATTGTCTGACGTATCAGTGAGTTTCTGGCTTTCTTACTTTAGTTTACCCTTTGTCCTTTAGTTTGTAAAGCTTCTATTTTTTTCTATAAATTTTCTGATGTTAGGGTAAAATCCATTACTTATTCAATCTCATGGAATTTTTATTTCAAATTTTTTTCATCTATACATGTCCCATTTTTCATTTTATAACTTCTATTTTTCTCCTATGTTCAATTTTCATTTAAGTACCTTGACATATATATGTATTTATCTATATGTATTTATAAAATATATTTACTTTAAGGACCTTGAAATTTCCTTCTTTTCTGTCATTTATAAATGACTTATTTTTATCCTGTTAATATATATCTTAATTATATACATCTTACGGCTTCTTTGCATGTCAGAGGTTTTTTTTGGGTATTTTGATGTTATGCTATTGAATATCTAGATTTTATTGGCTACCTTTGAACAATGTTGTGGCAGGCAGTTCAGTAACTTCAGGATGAGTATTTGTCTGTTGTTGTTTTAAATCTTCTCTTTAAACTTTGTGGAGTGAGTCTAGAGCCATCTGTAATTTGGAGCTAAATGAGCACTGTTACTAGGGCATGAACCTCCAGTGGTCTTTACTGAATATCCTGGAGGTACAGAGGGGATTCCCTTCTCTGATTAGAATTTGGAATATAAAGAGAAAAGAGAAAAATAGAAAGCTATGCATAAACACGTGCATTAAAATGAATTTTATGTGGGCTTTTTCATGAAAATGTTCCAAAGGTATTTTATTTTTTTATTGTGGTAAAATACATATAAAATGTACTCTGTTAACCATTTTAAGTGTACAGTTCAGTGGTACTAAATATAGTCATAACATTGTGCAGCCGTCCCTACCATCCATCTCCATAATTCTTTTCATCTTGTAAAACTGAAACTCTATACCCATTAAACAATACTTCCCCATTTCTTCCTCCCCCCAGCTTCTGGCAACCATCATTGTACCATCTCTATGATTCTGACCACTTTAATACAAATGGAATTATACTGTATTTGTCCTTCACTGACTAACTTATTTCACTTGGCATAATATCCTCAAGTTTCATCCAAGTTGCAACATATGTCAGAATATTTCCCTCATGTTTAAGGCTGAATAATATTCCATTGTATGCCTATATCATATTGTGCTTATCCATTCATCTGTTGTTGGACACTTCAATTGCTTCTACGTTTTAGCTATTGCCAATAACGCTGCTGCAAACATGGATGTGCAAATATTTTTTCAAGACTCTGCTTTCAATTCTTTTGCTATCCTGAGATGTGGCGCTGCTGAATCATATGGCAATACCATTTTGATGTTTTGAGGAACTACCATACTCTTTTCCACAGCAAACATAGCGTTTGGCATTCCCTCCAATACTGCAAAACGAATCGCCACATCCTTGCCTGTGGATTTTATTCACAAGTCCTGTGGCTCTCTCTACAACCCGGCCACCATGTGTTATTTCCTGTTTATGTATATGACATCAAAGGTGCAGGAAGTAATGAACTAAATTGGAAGGATAAACATGTAGAAAAATAGAGGTAAATACTGACTACATAAAACCATAAGAATAAGAATTTTGGATGATCTATCTATTATATACCTATTTATCTAACATCTATCTGTTCTTAAAATATCTGTAATTAAAATATATTACAGTTAGAGAACAGAGGAAAAAGTAGGAATACATGAATTTAAATTTTAATTCTTCTTAGATTGTCTCACAGCATCATTATAGGAAAGAAAATTTATAGGTCAATATCTGTTAACTATAAATGTAACATTCTTAAAGAATTCAAATACATTGAATTACAGCATGAATAATATATTACAATCCATTCAAGTTTATTTTATTCCAGGAAAACAAAAATACAAATTTCATTTGCAATTCAAAAAAAAAGAAATCGATACATATGATTGATGTATGTACACACTTAATGTATTTTTAAATATACATTTTTAAAAAATAGAAATTTTTCTAGGACAAATACTTAAAATATCACTGAAAATAGTGTTATTAGCTAATACCTTCCTAATAACTCTGGTATTACATAAGAAACCAAAATTAAAATTTCAGGTAAACTTAGAAACTAAAAATTTTAAAAATATTATTCTGTTCTCCATATGTTCATATTTAATATTATTTCTTCTTTTCATTCGTCTTCAGTGTTGCTCTACTAAAATATAACATACAATACTAACTTTTGATTTCTGTTCTTATTACTCAGAATTGTATACATTTTCTCATGCTCTTAATTTAGTTATGCTACTTTTCTGTACTGTTGGAATTTTCACATTTGTGTTCACTCTCTTTTGAGTTCCCACAGTATCAAATGAGCTTTTTTCCCTCTTTCTGATTTGAAGATTCATCTTCTCATAATTATTTTGTCCACTCAGTTTTTTTTCATTATCAGTTAAGTGCCTCTCATCTGGCTTCTTTTCATTTATAAGGTTTCCTTTCATCTTAAGCCAGTCTTTCATTTATATTTTGATTCTGTTTTGTGGAGGACATGCTTCCCTGAATTTTATGGAAGAGGCCAAAAGGTTTGCTCAAGTTTTTACCTGATACATTGGATTAAATTATCTAATGTACACACTTTTAATTTAAGTCTAGGGGCGACTGTCTACTCTTGATTTTGTATAGTATTATTTTTCTTAACATCCAAGTCCATCTTCATCTATTTGTATAAGATCAATAAAAATATATTTGTCCAGAACCCTGCTTTGGCGGAGTCACTTCTTTCTAAGTAGTAGAGGTAGCAGTTGAGACATGAGCTGGGTTCTGGGTCAGTTTAGAGGGCTGGGCGACATTCCTCCTTTTGGTCTGTATGACTGAATGAATGCAGTTCTTGCTGTCTCGCTCCTCTCCTTAACACATTGAGCCACTGCAGCAGATAAGAAGGAATAATCTTGATCTGCCATTCAGGTGGAACACATGTTCTCTCCAACCACACCCATAGGTTGTACTCACACTCGGCCAGAAGGTATCCTGTCAATGATATGGAGATGTATCTATCTATCTAGATAGATATCTACTTTGGTTTATGCTCTCTGGTTGCCCGCAAATTATCTCCTTAAATTGAATATCAAAAGAGAGCTTGGTGATGGCAGTGTTATAAAATCCTCAAAATGCAGCACCCATACCCAGAGGAATTTGTAGATTCTGAGATTCTAATTCAGATACCAAACTATATAAAAGGGGAATTGGTCATTGAGGGTTGCTAGGCTCTTTGTTGAGCATATATGCTCTTTTCATGACTTCGAAATTATTTTAAAAATCTAAACTTTTTCTCAGTGTGCTGCAAGATGATTTGATTTGAATGCATAAGCAGTAATTCTCCCCTAAGATTTGTACAATATATTTGCTCTGACAAGCGATAGCCAGCAACTCACTTCACAGCAATTTACAGCGTTTCCATGATAAGTTGAATTATTTTTAACTAGACTCTCTTTGCCTTAATAAAAATATGAAGAAGCAATATACTTGTTCTAATTAGGTTCAAAAGTTGGCAGTCTCTCTCCTGGAAAGAATAGTAAAACTTTTCAGCGGCCTAATATGCATGTATAAACACACAAACACACACACACACACACACACACACACACACAAGCACTATTCATAATATTTAAAGCACATTCTGTTCTATGACTTCATTTGTCTAGTACAAAATAAAACGATCTCTGTATATGTCAAGTATCAATTTTTTCGTATGGCCAATTATAGATATTTTATTTTTTAAAGATTAGAGTGTTCTTGAAGCTCTTTATATTTCTTTGTCAATGAACTAAACATTGGCAAATATGTAGGGTTTCCCACATAAGAACATTATTAACATCAAAATAGAAAGCTGGTGATAGCAATAATGATTGGGAACACAGAGTCTCTACTCAACGTTCTAGTTCTGCCATACCATAACTTTGTGATCTCAGGAAATATCTCTCCATGTTGTCATCTCAAAGTATAGTTCTGTCATTTTTCAATAAGAGCTTTTTGCTTAATTATGAAGTACTAGTTAGTGTAACCATTATTTTGAGCTTCATGTAAATCAAGAACACATGGACTCCACTTGCAAAACATCGAAAATGTAGTAGGGATTGGGGGCATAAAGCAACACTTTAAAATGTGTAAAGACAATGAGTAAGCAACAAAGTGTCCAATTTTTTAGGGGAAAGTTGCATACGTTAGGAAAAGGCAGGATTAAGTAACAGAGAATTTGAATGATAACTGGCCAATTGGTGTCATTTACAATTGCAAGTCATACAAATGAAGTTTTCTGTTTTAAAGAGAAAAGGATTTATTTAGAATGGGTCAACCTATTGGGGAAGCAATGTAGTTAGAAACAATGCCCAAAACCATGTAAGCAAATGCTCTGTAGAGCACACCCCTGCAATGCTGCCATTGTGAGGCCAAGTCTCTCCTCGTCTTGGTACTGAGCCCTCCGTTCTGCCTCCATCATTGCCACTGTAGCTGCCACAAAATGACCCCTCAACCACCGCTGCCCAGGAACAAAGAAAGAATTCTGTCCTTCCGCGCTCTCAGATCAATTTCCAACATCAGGTGAGCCTTTGATGGGCACTATTCAGTTCCCTTATCCCTGAAATAGATGCAGTAAAAATATAGAAATTGCCTATGTGTTTCCCAATAAGACACATATGGAAGCCTGTTTTCCCACAACAGGAAGGAGTTTGCACAATGGGTGTTCAAAGGAACAATATTCCCTGTAAACCGTACTTTGCCCATATGAAGAAAAGCAATAAGGATTATTTAGTAAATAGACATGGAAACTCATCCAGGGTTGGCTGATGAGAAGCTGGTTAGCAAGGGGGTCTGCCTTCAGTTAGGACAAGGTTTGTGCTTCCCACGGGTTCTCTCCACAGCAGGAGGGATGCAAACTTCCCTTTCCTCCCCTGCACCTACCCTCAAATGGCCCAGAGGTCTTCAGGTGCTAGAATTTCTCAATTAATGCTGCACAAAATATCAGACAGCCTTGACTGTCACAGTCTGTTCTCATGAAGCTAGTCTCTGCTCACTACATAAAACAGGAGAGTAAGAACAAGGGTGTTTAACGCTACCCTAGCTCAAACAAGTTTCTCTCTGTATTATGCCAAGAACCTGGGAACCAGTGCATCTGCTGCTTTCCCTTCTTGGATTCTAGCCCAGACAAAAGAGGCAAGGGGCATTTCTTCAGAGGCCTTGAGCTTCACTACACAATGACCCAGGCTCTACATGCACCCTCTTTATATATTTCTACCTTGAAAAAAAATTTTTATATAATATTAATAATATATATTTTTATATAATAAACACTTTTTTAATAGATAGATATAGATATACATAGATAAAGATCTCTAGTCAGCCTTTTTTAAGGCTGGGCTGATCGCAGTGCCTCAAAACTATAATCCCAGCACTTTGGGAGGCCAAGGTGGCCAGATCTCTTGAGTCCAGGAGTTGGAGATCACCCAGGGCAACATGGTGAAACCCCATCTTCACAAAAATTAGCTAGTATGGTATTATGCACCTGCAGTCCCTGCTACTCAGGAGGCTGAGGTGGGAGAATTGCTTGAGCACAGTATGTGAAGGCTTCAGTGAGCTCTAATCACATGACTGCACTCCATCTTGGGTGACAAAGTGAGACCCTCTCTCAAAAATAAAATAAAATAAAAAGGCTACCACCATACTCACAGATAAGTGTGTCAGGTATATTTGCAGCTATCCTTCCTATATTCTATTTGGTAAAAAAAAAAAAAAAGGCAAAGAACTCTTCTCATTCTAGATTTTTGTATTAATTAGACATTTGAAGTTTATAGCAGAAGAGCTATAATCACTCTATAGACCAGATAGTGCAAACAGATATCAATGCTTTTTAAAAGTATAGAAGGTTATTAGAAATTTTTTAAACTACTTATAGGTATATATGTATCTAATTGAACTATCAAATGCAAGTAAGATCATTTCCTTAGCGTGTGAAATCCACTCAATTTATTAAAATATTTTCTAATATCTATTACAATAATATTTCTTAATTAGTTAACAAAAGAGGAGTTTTAAGACATTTGTTTATATGTACTTACTAGATTCAAACTCGATTCCACTATTTTCAGAACTCATACTCTGAGACAAGTCCTTTTTTTATGTAACTATGTTTCTGCCTATATTAAAAGACAGATATGTCAATTTTGCTAGTCATGCTGTTCCAAAGCTCTCCATCCTGATTATTTTTCGGTTTGTTCTAGCAGTCATTCAGAGACTTACTTATATTCAAATTTCTCTCTAGGTTTAACATTCGTGTATGTCTTGTTGTGGTTTTGTCTATTTTTGCTGTATATAATTTAAGACATTTTATTGACATACACATGCAGAAAAGTAAAATGATTAAATATGATAGCTTGATTAATGAAACACATGTATTTGCTTATAGCCATGTACGAAAATAGAACATTATTAAAAATAGTGATACCTCTCCTGCCCCTTTCCAAACACTAACCCTCATCCTCAATAGTAACAGATTTTTTTTATCATAATTTGGTCTACTTTCAAATTTTTATTAAATAAATCGGAGTATCTACTCTAAGTCTATGTTTATTTCATTGTTGTTATTTTACTTGTAGTATTTATCTGCTAATGGACATGGTAGATTGAAGACGGCTACATACACATTTTTTAATTAATAGATTTTTTGAGCACTTTGTGGCTCATGCCTTTAATCCCATCACTTTGGGAGGCTGAGGTGCGTGGATCATGAGGTCAGGAGATCCAGACAATCCTGGCTAACGTGGTAAAACCCCTTCTCTACTAAAATACAAAAAATTAGCTGATAGATAACATCAAGATAACATCTGAGTTCTTAGCTGCACTGAGTCAAGCCTACTTACATCTTTGTCTTCTGCTGCACTTTTCCTTCCACATCACCGTCCAGGAATGCCAAGCTCCGTTGGCCTTCTACCCCATTTCCACTATTGTTCCCCTGCCACCGCGGCTTTTTGCCGCTACCGCCGCGGGTTTTTTGCCTCCGCTGCTTTTTGCCACCGCCGCCGCGGCTTTTTACCCCCAACGCTGGGGCTTTTTGCGGCTCTTTGACCCACCACCGGGGCTTGTTGCCTCTTTTTGCACCCGCCGCCGTGCCTTTTTGCCCCCGCCGCTGCGGCTTTCTCCCCCGCCTCACGGCTTTCTGCCCCCACCGCTGTGGCTTTTCATCACCACTACCGCGGCTTTTTGCCCCCGCCACTGCGGGTTTCTCCCACCGCGGTTTTTGCCCCCGCCGCCGTGGCTTCTTACCCCCGCCGCCATGGCATTTTGCCCCACGTCACCGTGGCTTTTTGCAGCTTTTTGCCGCTGCGGCTCTTTGCCCCTGAAGCCACGGCTTTTTGCCCTTGGCGCCGTGGCTTTTTGCCCCCGCCGCCGCGGCTTTTTGCGGCTTTTTGCCCCCGCCAATACGGCTTTTTGCCGCTGCGGCTCTTTGCCTCCGAAGCCACGGGTTTTTACCCCCACCGCCACGGGTTTTTGCCCCCGTGGCTTTTTGCTGCCACGGCTTTTTGCCCCCGCCGCCATGGCTTTTTGCTCCTGCCGCTGAGGCTTTTTGCCGCCGCAGTTTTTGCCCCCGCCGCCGCTGCTTTTTGTGGCTTTTTGCCCCCGCAGCTTTCCCCCCGCCGTCGCCGCGGGTTTTTGTGGGTTTTTTGCACCCGCTCCCGCTGCTTTTTGCCCCGCCACTACGGCTTTTTGCCGCCTTGGTTTTTTGCCCCCGAAGCCACAGCTTTTTGCCCTCGCCGCCGCGGCTTTTTGTGGCATTTTACTCTCAGCCACGGTGGCTTTTTGCCCCTGCCACGGCTTTTTATCCCTATCGCCATGGCTTTTTGCAGTCACAGCTTTTTATCCCCACCGCCGCGGCTTTTTGGGCCCACCACCGCGGCCTTTTCAACCGCGGCTTTTTGCCCCCACCACCGTGGCTTTTGGCTCCTGCCACTGAGGCTTTTTGCTGCCGCGGTTTTTGCCCCTGCCGCCGCTGCTTTTTGCGGCTTTTTGCCCCCCGCCAGGGCGGCTTTTTGCCCCCGTGAATTTTCCCCCCGTCTAAGCGGGATTTTGTGATTTTTTTTGCCCCCGCTCCTGCTGCTTTTTGCCCCCGCCGCCGCAGCTTTTTGCCCCACTGCTACGGTTTTTTGCCACAGTTGCTTTTTGCCCCCGAAGCCACAGCTTTTTACCCTCGACACCGCGGCTTTTTGTGGCTTTTCGCCCCTGCCGCTGAGGCTTTTTGCCGCCGCGGTGTTTGTTCCCGCCACCGCTGCTTTTTGCGGCTTTTTGCCCCCCACCGCCACGGCTTTTTGCCCCGCCACTACGGCTTTTTGCCGCTGCAGCTTTTTGCCCCCGAAGCCACGGCTTTTTGCCCTCACCGCTGCGGCTTTTTGCACCCACAGCCGGGGCTATTTACCCCCGCTTCCACGGCTTTTTGCCACCGCTGTTTTTTCCCCCACCACCGCGGGTTTTTGCCCCCGCCGCCGTGGGTTTTTGCCGCTGAGGCTTTTTTTTTAACCGCCACCGCCGCGGCTTTTAGTCCCCGCCACCGCGGTTTTTTGCCTCCGCTGCCGAGGCTTTTTGTCCCCACCGCCTTTGCTTTTTGTAGGTTTTCGCCCCCGTCGCTGCAGGTTTTTTGCCCCCTGCCACCACGGCTTTTTCCCCCAGCCGCGGCGGATTTTTGTGTTTTTTTTCCCCCGCTCCCGCTGCTTTTTGCCCCCCCTCAGTGGCTTTTTACCCCCCTCAGCGCGGCTTTTTGCTCCCACCGCCACGTCTTTCTCCAACCGCCACCGTGGCTTTTTGCCCCTGCCGCCACGCCTTTTTGCCGCCGTGGCTTTTTGCCCCCGCTGCCTTTGGAACCTTAATTTCACTTGAAATCTGACTTCCCACTGCCATGCAACCTAACATATTTGTATGTTAGACTCCGGGAATTAGGACATGAACATTTCTGGGAGGCCATTATTTTGTCTACAACAGACATAATCTATTTACCTGAAGATTAAAGTGATCTTTATTTTTCTGCCTCTCTTTCTTAATTTTTTTTTAAATAATATGGATTGTAGTAAAGAGAAAGAAAAGAAAGAAAAAAGAAGGAAGGAAGGAAAGAAGAAAGAAAAGGAGGAAATGAGAGAAGGGAGGGAGGGAGGAAGGGAGAAAGGCAGGAAAGGAGAAAAAAGAAAGCAAGAACTCAAGAAAGAAAGAGAAAGAAAGTGAGAAAAGAAGGAAGGAGGAAGAGAGAATGGTAAAAGGGAGGAAGGCAAACAAAGAAAATAGAAGGGAGGAAGGAAGGAGAAGGGAAAGGGAGGGAGGAAGGAAAAAAGGGAGGAAGGGAGAAAAAGGAAAGAAAGTGAGAAAGAGTAAGAGAAAAGAAGGAAGAAAAGGGAGGGAGAAAGCAAGGGAGGGAGGAGGGAGGGAAGAATAAGGGGAAGGAAGGAAGGAGAAAAATGAAAGGAAAAGAAAGCGGAAAAGAAGAAAGGAAGGAAGAAGGCAAGGGAAGAGGAGAAAGGAAGATGGAAAGAAGGAAGGAAGAACGCAAATATTAGAAATTCTGGGTTTGTTAGAGAATATGCCATACTGTTTTTTTCTCACTTGAAAGGAAAGAGTATCTGCCATTGAAGATTGGATGTCTTGTTGGTGATATTGTTGTTCTTATCTTCCACATGATTACTGAGTTTGTGCCTAGTCTGTCCATTACTAAGACAAAAGTGTTGAAGTCTGCAAATATAATTTTGGGTTTTTCTAGTTCACCTTTGATTTCTTTCCTGTTTTACCTCATGTATTTGGAGGCTCTGTTGTTAGCTGCATACCCTAATTAGTAGGATGTTTACATCTTGAGAATTGATTATTATATTATCTATTATCTCTCATCTCTGATACTATTTCTTGTTCTGAACTCTGTTGTGTCTAATATCAATGTAGTCCTTCCACAGCTTTATTTCAGTGTTTCCATGATATGGCTTTCTCCATATCTTGATGATAACCTATTTCTATCTCTATATATTTGGAGCAAGATATAAAATTTAGACTTGATTTTTTAAAGATTTTTCAAGATGGAATTCTTATTTCTTTTTGTTCTATTTGACATTCTCTGAGTTTCCTATATCTGAAGTTTGATTTTCTGTCACTTCTTTTAGAATATTTTTGGCAGTTATTTTGAAATATATTTCTTTTGCTCCATTATTTTTTCCTCTTTTCTTTTTGGGATTTCAATCATAACTAGAGTAGGTAATTTCACTCAGTCTTATGCAGGTACTTTTTCTCAGGGTCTCAGGAATGTAGCCTTCTCACACTTCTGTTCTTTTCCTGGCTGTGTTGGTGAGCTCAGTGATATTCCTCCTTCACCTTCAAGAGCAGTTTTGTTTTGTTTTTCCTGTTTTCATACTCCCAGCATCAGGAGTATTCTAAGTGTGGCAGTTTTTGTTGCCTTCCCCTACATATTAAGTGGAATATCTTGGTCTATTTGGACTCTTATAACAAAATAACATAAACTGGGTGACTAAAAAACAACAGATATTTCTTTTTTCACACTTCTTGAGGCTGTAAGATCTCAGGTCAAGATGCTCACAAATTCAGTGTTGATGAGAGCCCATTTCATGGTTCATAGATGGTGCCTTCTTTCTATGTCCTCAGACAGTGGAAGGCACACAATAACTCCATTGAGCTTCTTTTATAAAGGCACTAATCCCATTCATAAGGGCTCGGCCCCCAAGACCTGGTCACCTCCCAAGTGTTCTGCTCTCCCTGATCTGTGTCATATACAGACTCTCTTGGATTCCTTACCAATTGCCTGAGAGATCACAGTGGGTTTGTGGGGAAAACGTTTTCAAGATGATGGATCTTTCCCAACTTCTGCAGCTGTCAGCGGTCTCCCAATCTCACCAGCCCCACTTTGTCTTTAGGAATTTATTGATTATTCCAGCTTTACTTGTCATCGTGGTGTCTATTTGCATCTGTCCTATGTAAGTGCATCTGTCCTTTTTCTCCTTGCAGGTGCAAGTACTCAGGAGTACACTGTTGTTACTAATTACTCAGTATTGGTTGGTACATTGTCAAAGATCAAAAAACATTTTTAAAGATAAAAAAATTCTTGGAAGGTGTATAATGAACGGTTAATTCTGCAGACATGGCTTTCCAAAACCTTGCACATTCCAAAGGTCTTCAGGACTGGCCCTTGACAAGCTCCTGGGAGATGATAACCTATGAGCCCTTGGTATATGCTGCCTGATGAGAGTCTTTGTATACCTGAAAACGTAGGTCATACCAAATAGCTGATGCTAACAACGTGATTTCTTGTGAGCACCTGTTTCTGTATGCCTATGACTTTGTGTAATGCCATATTAATATGACCTCTCTTAGGGCATAGGGAGGTTGGGAACTAAGTAGCTAAGTTCAGTCACAGGACGTTCGATGCATATGTGGTGGAATCCTAATAAAAACCCTGGACTCAAGACTGACTGAGCTTCCCTAGTTGGCAACAAGTTCGCACATGTTGTCTCACACCATTGTAAAGAAAATTAGTCAGTGTGAAGTCCCCACTATGAAAGGACACCTGTAAGCTCACATCTGGTTTGTCCTGGACTCAACTTTATGTGCTTTTATGCTTCTGATTATTTTAATCTGTTTTCTTTCACAGTTAGAAACTATAACCACAAAAAAAATAAGCTTTCTTGAGTTATGTGAATCATTAAACCAAAGGGGGACTTGGGAAACCCCAATAAAAAGTATGTATATTCTTAAAAAGACAAAGAAAACTGGCTATAGCAGGTATTGCTGATGACTTGTCTTCTATGTCCTGGACTTAATGTGTTCACCTGAAATTCACCTGTTTCCAGCTAACTGAGAGCTCCCCATATCATGCCTGTCTTTCTGATTTTTGGGCTTACCTGCAAGCTTCTTGAGGCTAACCAGTGCTTCTCAATCACACATAGGAACAAAGAAGGAGTTAGGGGTGGAGAGTTAATGACTCTAAGGCAATCCTTAAGCAATAAGAGATGGGGATTCCAGCATCCCCATCTCTTTGTAAAGTTATTTTGAGACAATCTCCATACCTCCATCATTACTGAGCACATAGCAGTAAGTACTCATTCACACTGGCTTCGTGTTCTGTTTCATTTTCTCCACTTCTGTGCTTTCTCACTCAATTTCTGATTAAAGTATTTGACCCCAGATATTTGTTTCATAGTCTATTTTTGAGGGAATCCAGAGCCAAGACAATAACAATGGGAGCTTTGCAATGAGGGAGGGTGAGTATAATCATCAGAAGTTTACCTACCTCACTGGAAACATGAAGGCCTGGAGAGCTTGCTGTTTCAATGAGAGAAACATGTTGAATCTCAGTTGAATACCTATATATATATGTGCAATAAGACGTGCCCTTTACTTATATCAAAGGAAAGTGCTCTTTACCTCTCTTTGTTGTTGTGTTTTTACCACTATTGCCTACATAAGCAGAATATCATACCCAGGATTTAAAGCCCTCTCTGCAGGATTTTCAAGCTCATGTTTTTATCATAAGTCACTCTGCTTCCATGTGTTTTAAATCTAATTCTCATTCATCTGCTTTTACACCAGAGAATTCATCAATGACTTATTTTTGACTGACCTCCTTATAGAGCTGTCAAGTACACAATTTCTGCTGTGACCTTTCTCTTAGAGTTCAGTCATATAGCCTCTCACTAGACATCATTTCCTCTTATCTTTCCTAATAATGAATTGTCAGTTAAAACTCAATATTTTTAAGATTGAGCTTACCATCTGCACACACACACACACCATTATTGGTGTATTCTCATAGTCTTGAAACACTAATGTCACGTTGATGTCTGCCTTTTCTTTCTCTGCTACCTCATTCCTCATCCTTAGATTATTCTAAAAGATTCAATTAGATCAAGTTGGCTAATTATATTTTTAAGATCCTCTCTACCCTTACCAACTTTTCGCTTAACAAAATTTAAAAATTTCTGGCGGGAGACTGTTGAAATCCCCATGGATGACTGTGGTTTTACTATTTTACCTTTCAATTTTAATAGTTTTATATTATGTATTTTGAAGTAATGCTATTGTGTGCATACATATTACTTATTTACATGAATTCTTGGTGTATTTTCTCCTTTGTCATTTTGAAATGTTATTCTTCATCCCCAGTGATATTTCCTATTCTGATGTCTACTTTGCTCATCACAGTTTTAGGGGCTTTTGGTTTGTTTGTTTTTCTAATTTTGGTTCAAGTAAGTTTCTTATAAATCTGTTCAATTCCATTTGATGATTCCATTTGATTCCATTCGAGGATTCCACTCAATTCCATGCAATGATGATTCCATTCGAGTCCATTCAATGATTCCATTCGAGTCCATTTGATAATTCCATTCGATTCCATTCGATGATGATTCCATTAGAGTACATTCAATGATTCAATTTGATTCCATTTGATTCCATTCGATGATGATTCCATTAGAGTCCATTCGAGGATTCCATTCGATTCCATACGATGATGTTTCCATTCGAGTCCATTCAATGATTCCATTCGAGTCCATTTGATGATTCCATCTGATTCCATTTAATGATGACACAATTCGAGTCCCTTTGTTGATTCCATTCGATTCCATTCTATGATGACTGCATTCGGTTCCATTCGATGATGATTCCAACGGATTCCATTCAATTTCTCCATTAGATTCCATTCCTTGCTGATTCCATTCCATTCCATTCCATTAGATGATGACTCCACTAGATTCCATTCGATGATGATTTCATTAGACTCCATTCGATGATGATCCAATTCGGTTCTATTCAATGATGATTCTATTCAATTCCATTCAATAATTTCATTCGATTCCATTCGAAGATTCCATTCTATTCCATTCGATGGTGATTCCATTCGTGTCCAATCAATGATTCCATTCGATTCCATTCGATGATAATTCCATTTGAGTCCATTCAATGATTCCATTCGATTCCATGCGATGAAGATTACATTGAGTCCATTCGATAATTCCATTTGATTCCATTAGATGACGACTGCATTCGGTTCCATTTGATGATGATTCTAACGGACTCCATTTGATGACTCCATTTGATTCCATTCACTGATGATTCCATTCAATGATGATTCCATTCGATGACGATTCCATTTGATTCCATTCGATGATGATTCCATTCGATTCCATTCAATGATGATTCCATTGGATTCCATTCGATGATTCCATTTGATTACATTCGATGATGATTCCTTTCGGGTCCATTCGATGATTCCATTCTATTCCATTCAATGATTCCATCTGATTACTCCATTCAACTCCATTTGATGTTTTCTTTCGATTCCACTCAATGTTGATTCCATTTGAGTCCATTCGATGATTCCATTCATGTGCATTCCATGATTTCATTCGATTCCATTCGATGATGATTCCATTTGATTCCATTTGATGATTACATTTGATTTCATTCGATGATGATTACATTGGATTCCATTCGATGATTCCATTCGAGTCCATTCAATGATTCCATTCGAGTCCATTAAATGATTCCATTTGATTCCATTTGATGATGACTCCATTCAAGTCCGTTCAATGATGATTCCATTTGATTCCATTCGATGATTCCATTGGATTCCATTCTTTGTTTTATTTTGATTCGTTTTGATAAAGATTCCATTCTGTTTCATTCAATGATCCCATTTGATTCTATTCAATGATGTTTCCATTCGATTACATTTGAAGAAAATTCCATTCGATTCCATTGATGATGATTCCATTCAATTCTATTTGATGCCGATTCTATTCGATTCCATTTGATGATGATTCCATTCGATTCCATTCGATGATTAAATTCGATTCCATTTGATGATGATTCCATTCGAGACCGTTTGATGATTCCATTCAATTCAATAATGATTCCACTCAGGTCCATTCGATGATTCCATTCAAGTCCATTTGATGATTCCATCTGATTCCATTCAATGAATCCATTCGATTCCATTCTATGATGATTCCATTCATTTCCATCCGAAGATGATTCCATTCGATTCCATTCAATGATTCCATTCGAATCCATTCAATGATGAGTCCATCCATTTCAATTTCATGATAATTCCATTCGTTTCAATTCGATGGTGTTTCCATTCTATTCCATTCGATGTTGATTCCATTAGTTTCCATTGGATGATGATTCCATTCGAGTCCATTTGATGATGATCACATTCGATTTCATTCCATAATTCTATTTGATTCCATTTGATGATGATTCCATCTGATTCCATTCGATGATTCCATTCGTTTCCATCCGAAGATGATTCCATTCGATTCCATTCAATGATTCCATTTGATTCCATTTGACGATGATTCCAATCAATTCCATTCAATGATTCCATTCGAATCCATTCGATGATGAGTCCATCCATTTCAATTTCATGATAATTCCATTCGTTTCAATTCGATGGTGTTTCCATTCTATTCCATTCGATGTTGATTCCATTAGTTTCCATTGGATGATGATTCCATTCGAGTCCATTCGATGATGATCACATTCGATTTCCTTCCATAATTCTATTCGATTCCATTTGATGATGATTCCATCTGATTCCATTCGATGATTCCGTTCGATTCCATTCGATGATGATTCCATTCGTTTCCATCCAATGATGATTCCATTCGATTCCATTCGATGATGATTCCATTCGAGTCCATTTGATGATTCCATTCGATTCCATTCGACGATGATTGCATTCGAGTCCATGGATTATTCCATTCCATTCCATTTGATGATTCCATTCGAGTCCATTCAATGATTCTCTTTGATTCCATTCGATAATTCCATTTGATTCCGTTTGATGTTGATTCCATTTGAGTCCATTCGATGATAATTCCATTGGATTCTATGTGATGATTCCATTCTATTCCATTTGAAGATGATTCCATTCGAGACCATTCGATGATTCCATTCAATTCATTCGATGACGATTCCATTCAATTCCATTTGATGATTTCATTAGATTCCATTTGATGATGATTCCATTCAATGATGATTCCATGCGATTCCATTTGATGATGACTCCTTTCGTTTCCATTCAATGATGATTCCATTCGGTTCCATTCAATGATGATTCCTTTGGATTCCATTTGATGACGATTCCATTCAATTCCAATTGATGATGATTCTTTTCGATTCCAATCAATGATGATTCCATTCGATTCCATTTGATCATGATTCCATTCGATTCCACTCGATGATTCCATTTGATTCCATTCAATGATGATTCCATTCGAGTTCATTGATTATTCCATTCCATTCCATTCGATGATTCCATTCGAGTCCTTTCGATGATTCTATTCTATTCCATTCAATAATTCCATTCGATTCCATTTGATGATAATTCAATTCGAGTCCATTCGATGATTATTCCATTCGATTCTATTTGGTGATTCCATTCGATTCCATTTGATAATGATTCCATTCGAGACCATTCGATGATTCCATTCAATTCATTCGATGATGATTCCATTCAATTCCATTCGATGATTGCATTCGATTCCATTCGATGATGATTCCATTTGGTTCCTTTCGATGATGATTCCTTTGGATTCCATTCAATGATGATTCCTTTTGACTCCATTTGATGTTGATTCTTTTCTATGCCATTCGATGGTGATTCCATTTGATGCCATCCAATGATGATTCCATTCGATTCCATACGATGATGATTCCATTCGAGTCCATTCGATAATTCCATTCAATTCCATCTGATGATGATTCCATTCGATTCCATTCAATGATTCCATTTGAATCCTTTTGATGATTATTCCATTCGAGTCCTTTCAGTGATTCCTTTTGATTCCAATTGAAGATGATACCATTCGTTTCCATTCAATGATACCATTTGATACCATTAGTTGATGATTCCATCTGAGTGCATTCCATGATACCATTCGATCCCATTCAATGATGAATCCATTCGATTTCACTCAATGATTCCATTCAATTCCATTCTATGATGATTCCATTCAAGTCCATTTGATGATTCCATTTGACTCCATTTGATGATGATTCCATTCAATGATTCCATTCGATTCTATTCGATGATTATTCCATTCGATATCATTTGATGCTGATTCCATTCAATTCCATTTGATTATTCCGTTTGATTCCATTTGATGATTCCATTTGATTACATTTGAGGATGATTCCATTTGATTCCAATCAATGATGACTGCAATCAATTCCATTCAATGATTACATTTGATTCCATTCGATGAAGATTGCGATCGATTACGTTCGATGATTCCATTCAATTCCATTCGATGATTCCATTTGATAATGATTCCATTGGAGTCCATTCGATGATTCCATTCGAGCCGATTTGATAATTCCATTTGAGTCCAATCCATGATTCCATTCGAGTCCATTCAATCATTCCATTTGAGTCCATTCAATGATGATTCCATTCAAGTCCATTCGATCATTCTTTTTGAGTTCATTCGATGATGATTCCATTCGAGTCCATTCGATGATTCCATTCGATTCCATTCAATGATGATTCCATTTGAGTCCATTCGATGATTCCATTTGATTTCATTCAATGATGATTCCATTCAATTGCATTGAATGTTTCCATTCTATTCCATTTGATGAAGATTCCATTCGAGTCCACTTAATGATTCCATTCGGGTCCGTTTAATGATTCCATTGAGTTCAATACGATGATGATTACACTGGATTCCATTCTATGATTCCATTCGATTTCTTTCGTTGCTGATTCCATTCGATTCCATTTGATGATGATTCCATTTGATTCCATTCGATGATGATTCCATTCAATTACATTGGACGATGAATCCATTCAATTCCATTCGATGATGATTCCATTTTATTCCATTAGATGATGATTCCATTCAATTTCATTCAATGATTCCATTCGATCCCATTCGATGATGTTTCAATTCTATTCCATTGGATGATTCCATTCTATTCCATTCGATGATGATCCCATTCGATTCCATTCGATGATGATTCCATTCGATTCTGTTCGATGATGATTCCATTCGATTCCATTCGATGATGATTCCATTCGATTCCATTCGATGATGATTCCATTCGATTCCATTCGATGATGATTCCATTCGATTCCATTCGATGATGATTCCATTCACTTGCATTTGATGATGATTTCAATTGAGTCCATTCGAAGATTCCATTAGATTCCATTCGATCATGACTCCATTCGAGTCCATTCGATGATTCCATTCCATTCCATTCCATGATGATTCCATTCGAGTCCATTCTCTGATTCCACTAGATTCCATTTGATGATGATTCCATTCAAGTCCATTTGATGATTCCATTCAATTCCATTCGATGATGATTCCATTCGAGTCCATTCGATGATTCCATTTGAGTCCATTCGATGATGATTCCACTCGAGTCCATTAGATGATTCCATTCAAGTCCATTTGATTATTCCCTTAGATACCATTCATTGATGATTCTATTCGATGCCATTCGATGATTCCATTTGGTTCCATTTGAGGATATTTCCATTTGAGTCCATTCAATGATTCCATTGGATTCCATTCAATGATGATTCTATTCATGTCCATTCAATGATTCCATTTGATTCCATTCAATGATGATTCCACTCGAGTCCATTCGATGATTCCACTCTATTCCATTTGATGATGATTCCATTCGAATCCATTTGATGATTCCATTCGATTCCATTCGATGATTCCTTTCGATCCCATTTGATGATTCCCTTTGATTCCATTCGATGATCACTCCATTCAATTCAGTGATCCCATTGGATTCCATTCGATGATGATTCCATTAGATTCCACTGCATGATGGTTCCATTCGGTTCCATGTGATGATGATTCCATTAGATTCCATTCGATGATTCCATGCGATTCCATTTATTGATGATTCCATTCGATTCCATTCGATGATGATTCCATTCGATTCATTCGATTATGATTCCATTCAATTCCATTTGATGATGATTCCATTTGATTTCATTCGATGATTCTATTTGATTCCATTTGATGATGATTCCATTCTATTCCATTTGATGATTCCATTCGATTCCATTCTATGATGATTCTATTTGACTCCATTTGATTATGATTCCATTTGATTCCATTTGATGACGATTCCATTCATGTCCATTCGGTGATTCCACTCAATTCTATTCGATGATGATTCCAAACGAGTCCGTTAGATGATTCTATTTGATTCCATTGGATGATGATTCCTTTCGATGCCATTCAATGATTCCCTTTGATTTCATTTGATGATGATTCCATTCAATTCCATTCGATGATTCCATTTGATGATGATACCATTTGATGCCACTCAATGATTCCATTCGATTCCGTTCAATGATTCCATTCAATTCCATTCGATGATGATTCCATTCAAGTCCATTCAATGCTTACATTCGATTCCATTTGATGATGATTCCATTTGATTCCATTCAATGGTGATTCCATTCGAGTCCATTCGATGATTCCATTCGATTCCTTTTGATGATGATTCCATTCGATGCCATTCAATGATTCTATTCGATTGCATTCAATGATGATTCCATTTGAGTCCATTCAATGATTCCATTCAAGTCCATTTGATGTTTCCTTTCAATTCCACTCGATGATGGTTCCATTCGAGTTCATTCAATGATTCCATTGGATTCAATTCGATGATGATTCCATTCGAGTCCATTCGTTGCTTCCATTTGATTTCATTCGATGATGATTCCATTCGACTGTATTTGATGATTCCATTCTATTCCAGTCGATGATGATTCCATTTGAGTCCATTTGATGATTCCATTCGCGTCCATTTAATGATTCCATTGGGTTCAATTCAATGATGATTACATTGGATTCCATTCTATGATTCCATTCGATTCCATTCGTTGATGATTCCATTCGACTCCACTCGATGTTGATTCCATTCAATTTCATTCAATGCTTCTATTTGATTCCATTCGATGATGATTCCATTCTATTCAATTCAATGATTCCATTAGATTCCACTCGATGATGATTACATTCGATTTCATTCAATGATTCTATTTGATTCCATTCGATGATGATCCCATTCTATTCAATTCTATGATTACATTTTATTCCATTCGATGATGATTCCATTCGATTCCATTCGATGATGATTCCATTCGATTGCATTCGATGATGATTCCATTTGGGTCCATTCGAAGATTCCATTCGATTACATTCCGTGACGATTCCGTTCGAGTCCATTTGATGATTCCATTCGACTCCATTCGACGATGATTCCATTCGATGCTATTCTATGATTCCATTCTATTTCATTTGATGATGATTCCATTCAACTCTATTCGATGATTCCATTCCAGTTCATTCGATTATTCCATTAGATTCCATTCGATGATGATTCCATTCAAATCCATTTGATGATTCCATTCGATTCCATTCGATGATGATACTATTCGAGTCCATTCGATGATGACTGCATTCGATTCCATTCGATGATTCCATCTTATTACATTCGATGAAGATTCCGATCGATTCCATTCGATGATTCCATTCAATTCATTTGATTATTCCATTTTATTCCATTCGATAATGATTCCATTCGAGTCCATTCGATGATTCCATTCGAGCCCATTCGATAATTCCATTTGAATCCAATCCATGATTCCATTCGAGTCCATTCGATCATTCCATTTGAGTCCATTCAATGATGATTCCATTCGAATCCATTCGGTGATTCCATTCAAGTACATTCAATAATTCCATTTCAGTCCATTCAATGACGGCTTTTGATTCCATTCGACGATATTCCTTTTGAGTCCATTCAATGATTCCATTCTATTCTATTCGATGATGATTCCTTTCATCTCCATTTGGTGATTCCATTCGATTTCATTCAATGATGATTCCTTCCGAGTCCATTAGATGATTCCTTTCGAGTACATTAAATGATTCCTTTCAATTCCATTTGATGATGATTCCATTGGAGTCCATACAGTGATTCCATTCGATTCCATTCAATGATGATTCCATTCGATTCCATTCAATGATTCCATTTGATTCCATTTGATAATGATTTCATTCGAGTCCATTTGATGATTCCATTTGATTCCATTCAATGATAATTCCATTCGATTCCATTTGATAATTCCATTGGATTCCATTCAATGATGATTTCATTTGAGTCCATTCGATGATTCCATTTGATTCCATTCGATGATGATTCCATTCGAGTCCATTTGATGATTCTATTCAAATCCATTTAATGATTGCTTTTGATCATATTCGATGATGATTCCATTCGAGTCCATTCAATGATTCCATTCGATTCCATTCGATAATGATTCCATTCGAGTCCATTTGATGATTCTATTTGATTCCATTCTCCGATGATTCCATTCGAGTCTATTCGATGATTCCACTCGATTCCATACAATGATGATTCCATTCGATTCCATTTGATGATTCCATTCGAGTCCATTCGATAATTCCATTTCAGTCCATTCGATGACAGCTTTTGATTCCATTCGACGATATTCCTTTTGAGGCCATTCAATGATTCCATTCAATTCTATTTGATGATGATTCCTTTCATCTCCATTTGGTGATTTCATTCAATTTCATTCAATGATGATTCCTTTCGAGTCCATTAGATGATTCCTTTCGAGTCCATTAGATGATTCCTTTCAATTCCATTTGATGGTGATTCCATTCGAGTCCATACAGTGATTCCATTCGATTCCATTCGATGATGATTCCATTTGATTCCATTCAATGATTCCATTCGATTCCATTCGATAATGATTTCATTCGAGTCCATTTGATGATTCCATTTGATTCCATTCAATGATAATTCCATTCGATTCCATTTGATGATTCCATTGGATTCCATTCGATGATGATTTCATTCGAGTCCATTCGATGATTCCATTTGATTCCATTCGATGATGATTCCATTCGAGTCCATTTGATGATTCCATTTGATTCCATTCGATGATGATTCCATTCGAGTCCATTCAATGATTCCATTCGATTCCATTCGATAATGATTTCATTCGAGTCCATTTGATGATTCCATTTGATTCCATTCAATAATAATTCCATTCGATTCCATTTGATGATTCCATTGGATTCCATTCGATGATGATTTCATTCGAGTCCATTCGATGATTCCATTTGATTCCATTCGATGATGATTCCATTCGAGTCCATTTGATGATTCTATTCAAATCCATTTGATGATTGCTTTTGATTATATTCGATGATGATTCCATTCGAGTCCATTCAATGATTCCATTCGATTCCATTCGATAATGATTCCATTCGAGTCCATTTGATGATTCTATTTGATTCCATTCTCCGATGATTCCATTCGAGTCCATTCGATGATTCCACTCGATTCCATACAATGATGATTCCATTCGATTCCATTTGATGATTCCATTCGAGTCCATTCGATAATTCCATTTCAGTCCATTCGATGACGGCTTTTGATTCTATTCGACGATATTCCTTTTGAGGCCATTCAATGATTCCATTCAATTCTATTTGATGATGATTCCTTTCGTCTCCATTTGGTGATTTCATTCAATTTCATTCAATGATGATTCCTTTCGAGTCCATTAGATGATTCCTTTCAATTCCATTTGATGTTGATTCCATTCGAGTCCATACAGTGATTCCATTCGATTCCATTCGATGATGATTCCATTTGATTCCATTCAATGATTCCATTCGATTCCATTCGATAATGATTTCATTCGAGTCCATTTGATGATTCCATTTGATTCCATTCAGTGATGATTCCATTCAATTCCATTTGATGATTCCATTGGATTCCATTCAATGATGATTCCATTCGAGTCCATTCAATGATTCCATTTGATTCCATTTGATGATGATTCCATTCGAGTCCATTTGATGATTCTATTCAAATCCATTAGATGATTGCTTTTGATTATATTCAATGATGATTCCATTCGAGTCCATTCAATGATTCCATTAGATTCCATTCGATGATGATTCCATTCGAGTCCATTTGATGATTCTATTTGATTCCATTCTCCGATGATTCCATTCGATTCCATTCAATGATTCCACTTGACGATGATTCCATTCGATTCCATTATATGATTCCATTCGATGATGATTCCTTTCTATTCCATTTGATGATTCCATCTGATTCTATTCGAGGATTCCATTTGATTCGATGACTTCATTCAAGTTCATTCAATGATTACTTTCGAGTCCATTTGATGATTCCATAAGATTCCATTTTATGATGATTCCATTAGAGTCCATTCAATGACTCCATTCGAGTCCATTCAATAATTCCATTCGAGTCCATTCAATGATTCCATTCGATTCCATTTGATGATTCCATTCGAGTCCATTTGATCATTACATTCGAGTCCATTCAGTGAATCCATTGGATTTCTTTTGATGATGATCCCATTCTATTCCATTTCATGATGATCCCATTTGATTCCATTCGATTATGATTCCATTCATGTCCATTCGATGATTTCATTCGATTCCATTCAATGATGATTCCATTCGAGTCCATTTGATGATTCCATTCGAGTCCCTTAGTTGATTCCATCCAATTTCATTTGATGATGATTCCATTCGAGTCCATTCAATGATTCCATTTGATGATTCCATTGGAGTCCATCTGATTATTCCATTAGAGTTCAATCGATGATTCCATTTGATTCCTTTTGATGATAATTCCATTTGAGTCCATTCGATGATCATTCCCTTCAATTCCATTCAATGATTCCATTCGATTCTATTCGATGATTCCCTTCGATTCCTTTCCATGAT
The DNA here is from genome assembly GCF_000001405.40 of Homo sapiens. NCBI lineage: Eukaryota > Metazoa > Chordata > Mammalia > Primates > Hominidae > Homo > Homo sapiens. The sequence goes on from NT_187502.1 coordinate 56,056, forward strand.
GATTCCATTCCATTCCATTCAATGATTCCATTTGATTCTATTCCATGATGATTCCATTCGATTCCATTTGATGACGACTGCATTTGGTTCCATTTGATGATGATTCCAAAGGATTCCATTCGATTTCTCCATTTGATTCCATTCGTTGATGATTCCTTTCGATTCCATTACATGATGATTCCATTAGATTCCCCATTCGGTGATGATTCCATTTGATTCCATTCGATGACGATTCCATTTGATTCCATTCAATGATGATTCCATTCGGTTCCATTTGATGATTATTCCATTTGAGTAAATTCAATTATTCCATTTGATACCATTTGATGATGATTCCATTCAAGTCTATTTGATGATTCCCTTCAATTCCATTCAATGATGATTCCATTCGGTTCCATTTGATGATTATTCCATTTGAGTAAATTCAATTATTCCATTTGATACCATTCGATGATGATTCCATTCAAGTCCATTTGATGATTCCGTTCAATTCCATTCGATGATGATTCCATTCAAGTCCATTTGATGATTCCATTCTATTGTATTCGATGATTCCATTCTATTCCATTCGAAGATGATTCCATTTGAGTCCATTCGATGATTCCATGAGAGTCCATTTAATGATTCCGTTGGGTTCAATTAGAAGATGACTACACTGGATTCCATTCTATGATTCCATTCGATTACATTCGTTGATGATTCCTTTTGATTCCATTCGATGATTCCGAGTCCATTCGATGATTCCATTTGAGTCCATTCGATGACACCATTCGATTCCATTTGATGATGATTCCATTCGAGTTCATTCGATGATTCCATTCGTTTCCATTTGATGATGATTCCATTCAAGTCCATTCGATGGTTACATTCAATTCCATTTGATGATGATTCCATTCAATTCCCTTCATTCATGATTCCATTGGATTCCTTTCAATGATGATTCCATCCAATTTCATTCGATGATTCTGTTCGTTTCCATTCGATGATGATTCCATTCTATTCCAATCGATGTTTCCATTCGATGTCATTCGATGATGACTCCATTCTATTCCATTTGATGATGACTTCATTCAATGCCATTCGATGATTCCATTCATTGATGTTTCCATTTGATTCCATTCAATGATTCCATTCGTTTCCATTCGATGATGTTTCCATCGATTCCATTCAATGCTTACATTCGATTTCGTTCGATGATGATTCCATTCGAGTCCATTCAATGGTTTCATTCGATTCCAGTCGATGATGATTCCATTCAATTCCATTCAATGATTCCTTTCACGTCCATTCCATGATTCCATTTGAGTCCATTCGATGACACCATTCGATTCCATTCGATGATGATTCCATTCGAGTCCATTCGATGATGATTCCATTTGAGTCCATTCAATGATTCCATTCGGTTCCATTTGATGATGATTCCATTGGATTCCATTCAATGATTCGATTCGATTCCATTCGTTGTTGATTCCATTTGTATCCATTCTATGATGATTCCATTTGATTCCCTTCGTTGATGATTCCATTAGATTCCATTCTATGATGATTCCATTCGACTCCATTCGCTGATGATTCCATTCGATTTCATTCAATGGTTCCATTTGATTCCTTTTGATGATGATTCCATTCCATTCCATTTGATGATTCCATTTGAATCCATTCGATGATGATTCCATTTGGTTCAATTCGATCATGAGCCATTCGTTTTAATTCCATGATGATTTGATTTGATTCAATTCGATGATGCTTACATTCGATTCCATTCGATGATGCTTCCAATCGATTCCATTGGACGATGATTCCATTCGAGTCCATTTGATGATGATTCCATTCGAGTCCATTTGATGATGATTTAATTCGATTTCATTCGATGCTTCTATTCGATTCCATTCGATGATGATTCCATATGATTTCATTCGATGATTCCATTCGATTCCATTCAGTGATGATTCCATTTGATTCCATTTGATGATGATTTCATTTGATTCCATTTGATGATGATTTCATTTGGCTCCATTTGATGATTCCTTTCGAGTCCATTTGATGATTCCATTGGACTCCCTTTGATGATGATTCCATTCAATGATTCCATTCGATTCTATTCGATGATGATTCCATTCGATTTTGTTCAATGCTGATTTCTTTCAATTCAATTCGATGATTCCATTTGATTCCATTTGAAGTTTCCATTCGATTACATTTGATGATGATTCCATTCGATTCCATTTGATGATTCAATTCGATTCTATTCGATGATGACTGCATTCAATTCCATTCGATGATTCCATTTCATTCCATTTGATGATGATTCCGATCATTTCCATTCAATGATTCCATTCAATTCCATTCGATGATTCCATTTTATTCCATTCAATAATGATTCCATTCGAGTCCTTTCGATGATTCCATTCGAGGACATTCTATAATTCCATTTGAGTCCAATCGATGATTCCATTCAAGTCCATTCGATGATTCCATCTGAGTCCATTCGATGAAGATTCCATTCGCGTCCATTCAAAGATTCCTTTAGAGTCCATTCGATGATTCCTTTTGATTTCATTTGATAATGTTTCCATTCGAGACCATTCGATGATTCCATTCAATTAATTCGATGATGATTCCATTCAACTCCATTCAATGATTCCATTAGATTCCATTTGATGATGATTCCATTCGATTCAATTTCATGATGATTCCATGTGATTCCATTCGACGATGACTCCTTTCGTTTCCATTCGATGATGATTCCTTTGGATTCCATTTGATGATGATTCCATTCAACTCCATTTGATGTTGATTCTTTTCGATTCCATTCTATGATGATTCAATTTGATTCCTTTTGATGATGATTCCATTCGAGTCCATTCGATGATTCCACTCAATTCCATTCGATGATGATTCCATTCGATTCCATTCGATGATTCCATTCGATTCTTTTGATGATTATTCCATTTGAGTCCATTCCGTGATTGATTTCGATGCCAATTGAAGATGATTCCGTTCGACTCCATTCGATGATACCATTCGATACCAATCATTGACGATTCCATTCGAGTGCATTCAATCATACTATTCGATTCCATTCGATGATGATTCCACTCAATTCCATTCGATAGTGATTCCATTTGGGTCAATTTGATCATTCCATTCGATTGCATTCGATGATGATTCCATTCGAGTACATTCAGTGATTCCATTCAAGTTCATTTGATGATTCCTTTTGATTCCATCCGATGATGATTCCATTCGGGTCCATTCGAAGATTCCATTCGATTCCACTCGATGAAAATTCCATTCGAGTCCATTCAATGATTCCTTTCGATTCCATTCGATGATGATTCCCTTCGAGTCCATTCAATGATTGCCTTCGAGTCCATTCGATGATTCTATTTGATTCCATGCGATCATAATTCCATCGAGTCCATTTGATGATTCCATTTGATTCCAATTGATGATGACTGCCTTCGGTTCCATTCGATGATGATTCTGACGGACTCCATTTGATGACTCCTTTCGATTCCATTCATTGATGATTCCATTCAATTCCATTCGATGATGATTCCATTTTATTCCATTTAATGATGATTCCATTTGATTCCATTTGATGTTTCCATTTGATTCCATTCAATGATGATTCCATTCGAGTCCATTCGATGATGATTCCATTCTATGATGATTCCATTCGATTCCATTCGATGATGATTCATTTTGATTCCATTCAATGATGATTCCATTCGAGTCCATTTGATGTTTCCTTTCGATTCCACTCGACGTTGATTCCATTTGGGTCCATTCGATGATTCCATTCGAGTGCATTCCATGATTTCATTCGATTCCATCCTATGGTGATTCCATTCAATTCCATTCGATGATTCCATTCGAGTCCATTAAATGATTCCATTCGATTCCATTCAATGATGACTCCATTCGAGTTCTTTCAATGGTGATTCCATTCGATTACATTCAATGAGTCTGTTGTATTCCATTCTTTGCTTTACTTCGATTCTTTTTGATGATGATTCCATTTGATTTCATTTGATAATCCCATGCGATTCTATTCAATGATGACTCCATTCGATTCCATTTGATCAAAATTCCATTTTAATCCTTTCGACGATGATTCCATTCGATTCTATTTCATGCCGATTCTATTTGATTCCATTCTATGATGATTCCATTCGATTCCATTCAATGATTCCATTCGATTCCATTCAATGATGATTCCATTCAAGTCCATTCGATGATTCCATTCAAAACCATTCGATGATTCCATCTGATTCCATTCGATGATGATTCCATTCGAGATCATTCAATGATTCCATTCAAGTCCATTCGATGATGATTCCATTCGAGTCCATTCAATGATTCCATTTGATTTCATTCGATGATGATTCCATTCGAATCTCTTCGATGATTCCATTCTTTTCAATTCAATGATGATTTCATTTGAGTCCATTCAATGATGCAATTCGAGTCCATGGAATGATTCCATTGGGTTCAATTCGATGATGATTACATGGGATTCCATTCGATGATTCCATTCTATTCCATTCATTGATGATTCCATTCGATTCATGTCAATGATGATTGCATTCGATTCCATTCATTGATGATTCCATTCGATTCCATTTGATGATGATTCGATTCGATTCCATTCGATGATGATTCCATTCGATTCCATTTGATGATGATTCCATTTGATTTCATTCGATGATTCTATTCGATTCCATTCAATGAAGATTCAATTATATTATATTCGAGGATTCCATTAGATTCCATTTGATGATGATTCCATTTGATTCCGTTCGATGCTGATTCCATTCAATTGCATTCGATGATGATTCCATTCGAGTGCATTCGAAGATTCCATTTGATTCCATTCGATCATGATTCCATTCGGGTCCTTTCGAAGATTATACTCGATTCCATTCGTATCCATTTGATGATTCCATTCCATTCCATTTGATGATGATTCTATTCGACTCCATTTGATGATGATTCCATTCAATTCCATTCAATGATGATTCCATTTGATTTCATTCGATGATTCCATTTGTTTCCATTCGGAGATGATTCTATTCTATTCCATTCGATGATTCCATTCGATTCCATTCGATGAGGATTCTATTTGATTCCATTTGATGATGATTCCATTCGATTCCATTCGATAATGATTCCATTCATGTCCGTTTGATGCTTCCATTCGATTCCATTCAATGATGATTCCGTTCGAGTCCGTTAGATCATTCTATTCGATTTCATTCGATGATGATTCCATTTGAATCCATTTGATGATTCCATTCCATTCCATTCGATGATGATTCCATTCGAGTCCATTTGATGATTCCATTCGATTCCATTCTATGATGATTCCATTCCAGTCCATTCGATAATTCAATGCAATTTCATTCAATGATGATTATGTTCAATTCTATTCGATGATTCCATTCGATTCCATTTGATGATGATTCCATTCAAGTCCATTCGATGAGTCCATTCAATTCTATTCGATGATGATTCCATTTGATTCCATTCGGTTCCATTCGATGAGCATTCCATTCATGTCCATTCAATGATTCCGTTTGATTTCATTTGATGATGATTCCATTTGAGTCCAATCGATGATTCTATTCGAATCCATTTGATGATTGTTATCAATTATATTTGATGACGATTCTATTCTAGTCCATTCGATGATTCCAATTGATTCCATTCAATGAGGATTCCATTCGGGTCCATTAGGTGATTCCATTAGATTCCATTTGATGATGATTCCATTCGAGTCCATTCGATGATTCCATTTGATTCCATTCAATGATGATTCCATTGGGGTCCATTAGATGATTCCATTCTATTCCATTTGATGATGATTCCATTGTGTAAATTAGATGATTCCATTCTATTCCATTTGATAATGATTCCATTCGGGTCCATTCAATGATTCCATTCTACTCCATTCAATGATGGTTCCATTCAAGTCCATTAGATGTTTCTATTCGAGTCCATTCAATGATTGCTTTCAATTCCATTCGCTATTGATTCCATTCGATTCCATTTGATGTTGATTCCATTCGATTTCATTCACTGATCCTATTTGATTCCATTTGATGATGATTCCATTGGGGTCCATTAGATGATTCCATTCGATTCCATTCCATGATGATTCCATTCGAGTTCATTCGATGATTCCATTCAATTCCATTCTCCAATGATTCCATTCTAATCCATTCAATGATGATTCCACTTGATTCCATATGATGGTGATTCCATTTGATTCCATTCTATATTCCATTCCATGATGAATCCATTTGGGTACAGTAGATGATTCCATTCGATGATGATTCTATTCCTGTCCATTAGATGATTCCATTCAATTCCATTCGATGATGATTCCATTCTATTCAATTCTCTGATGATTCCATTCGGATCCATTGGATGATTCCATTGGATTCCTTTCGGTGATGATTCCATTCTATTCCATTCAATGATGATTCCATTCGGGTCCATTAGATGATTCCATTAGATTCCATTCGTTGATGATTCCATTCTATTCCATTCGATGATGATTCCAATCGTGTAAATTAGATGATTCCATTCTATTCCATTCGATGATGATTCCATTCGGGTACATTCAATGATTCCATTCATTTCCATTTGATGATGATTCCATTAGATTTCATTTGATGATTCCATTGGATTCCATTCGTTGATGATTCCATTCGATTCCATTCGATGATGATTCCATTCGATTCCCTTCATTGATGATTCCATTGGATTCCATTCGATGATGATTTAATTCGACTCCATTTATGATGATTCCATTTGATTTCATTCAATGATTTCATTCGATTCCATTCGAAGATGATTCCATCTGGTTTAATTTGATGATTCCATTCGATTCCATTCAGTGATGATTCCATTCGGTTCCATTTGAGGATGATTTCATTTGATTCCATTGGATGATGATTCCATTCGACTCCCTTCAATGATTCCATTAGAGTCCATTCGATGATTCCATTTGAGTCCATTTGATGATTCCATTGGACTCCATTTGATGATAATTCCATTCAATGATTCCATTTGATTCTATTCAATGATGATTCCATTCTATTTTGTTCGATGCTGATTCCTTTCAATTCCATTCGATGATTCCATTTGATTTCATTTGAAGATTCCATTCAAATACATTCGACGATGATTCCATTCGATTCCATTCGATGATTACACTCGATTCCACTTGATGATGACTCCATTCAATTCCACTCAATGATTCCATTTGATTCTATTCGGTGATAATTCCATTCAATTCCATTCGATGATGATTGCGTTCAATTACATTCAAAGATTCCATTCAATTCCATTTGATGATGATTCCATTCGATTCCATTTGATGATTCCATTTGATTACATTCGAGAATTCCACTCAATTCCATTCGATGATCATTCCATTCCGTTCCATTCAATGATTCCATTCCAGTCCATTTGATGATTCCATTCGATTCCATTCGATGATGTTTCCATTCGATTCCATTCGATGATTCCATTCGATTCCATTCTATGATGTTTCCATTCGATTCCATTTGATGATTCCATTCGATTCCATTCAATTATTCCATTTGAGTCCATTCGATGATCCCATTCGATGCCGTTTGATGATAATTCCTTTTGAGTCCATTCGATGATGATTCCATTCAATTCCATTGAATTATTCCGTTTGATTCCATTTGATGATTCCCTTAGATTCCTTTCAATGATGATTTCATTTGATTCCATTTGATGATGATTCCATTCGGTTCCATTAGATGATGATTCCGTTATGTTCCATTCAATGATGATTCCATTCGATTCCATTCAATGATGATTCCTTTCAATTCCATTCAATGATGATTCCATTCGATTCCATTCGATGATTCCACTCGATTCCATTCGATGGTGATTCCATTCGTGTCCATTCGATGACTCCATTCGATTTCATTCGATGATGATTCCATTCGAGTTCTTTGAATGATTCCATTCAAGTCCATTTGATGATTCCTTTCAATTCCATTCAATGATGATTCCATTCGAGTCCATTCGACGATGAATCCATGTGATTCCATTCGATTATGACTCCTTTCATTTCCATTCAATGATGATTCCATTCGGTTCCATTCGATGATTATTCCTTTGAATTCCATTCGATGATGATTCCATTCGACTCCATTTGATGTTGATTCTTTTTGATTCCATTTGATGATGATTCCATTTGATTACATTTGATGATGATTCAATTCTATTCTATACGATGATGATTCCATTCTAGTCCATTTGATGATTCCATTCGAGTCCATTCAGTGATTCCATTCGATGATTCCATTTGATTCCTTTCGATTATTATTCCATTTGAGTCCATTCGGTGACTCCTTTTGATCCCAAATGAAGATGATTCCATTCAATTGCATTCGATGATACCATTCGATACCATTCGTTGATGATTCCATTCGAGTGCATTCGATGTTACCATTTGATTTCATTCGATTCCATTCGATGATTCCATTCAATTCCATTCTATGATGATTCCATTCGCGTCCATTTCATGGTTCCATTGGACTCCATTTGATGATGATTCCATTCCAATATTCCATTCGATTGTATTTGATGATGATTTCATTCGATTTCATTCGATGCTGATTCCATTCAATTCCATTTGATGATTCCATTTGATTACATTTGATGATGATTCTGATCAATTCCATTCGATGAATCCATTTGATTCCATTTGATGATTCCATTTGATTCCATTTGATAATGATTCCATACGAGTCCATTCAATGTTTCCATTCGAGCCCATTTGATAATTCCATTTGAGTCCAATCGATTATTCCATTTGAGTCCATTCAATCATTCCATTTGAGTCCATTTGATTATGAATCCATTCGGGTACATTCGATGATTCCATTCGAGCCCATTTGATAATTCCATTTGAGTCCAATCGATTATTCCATTTGAGTCCATTCAATCATTCCATTTGAGTCCATTTGATTATGAATCCATTCGGGTACATTCGATGATTCCATTCGAGTCCATTTGATAATTCCATTTGAGTCCATTCGATGATTGCTTTTGATTCCATTTGATTATATTCCATTCGAGTCAATTTGTTGATGCCATTCATTTCTATTTGATGATGATTCCATTCGAGTCCATTCAGTGATTCCATTCCATTCTATTTGATGATGATTCCATTCGATTCCATTCGATGATGATTATATTCATGCCCATTACATGATTTCACACGATTCCATTTGATGATGATTCCATTCGATTCCATTCGATGATGATTCCATTCAATTCCATTCATTGGTGATTCCATTCAATTCCATTCATTGATTCCATTCCATTCCATTCGACAATGATTCCATTCAATTCCATTCGATAATCCACTCAATTCCACTTGATGATGATTCTATTCGATTCCATTCGATGATTCCATTTGATTCCATTCGATGATGATTGCCTTCGATTCCATTTAATGATTCCATTCGATTCCATTCAATGATGATTCTGTTTGATTCCATTTCATAATTCCATTTGATTCTATTTGAGGATTCCATTCGATACCATTCCAAGATGATTCCATTCGAATCCATTTGATGTTTTCATTAGAGTCAATTCAATGATTCCATTCGAGTCCATTTGATGATTCCATTAGATTCCATTTGATGTTGATTCCATTAGCGTCCATTTGATGATTCCATTCGAGACCATTCGATAATTCCATTCACGTCCATTTGATGATTCCATTCGATTCCATTCGATGATTCCATCCCATTCCATTTGATGATGATTCCATTCGAGTTCATTCAATCATTCCATTTGATTCCATTCGATGATTCCATTTGAGTCCATTTGATTATTCCATTCAAGTCCATTCAATTATTCCATTTGAGTCCATTCGATGATTCCATTCAATTCCATTCGATGATAATTGCATTCGAGTCCATTCAGTGATGATTCCATTCGATTCCATTCAATGATTCCGTTTGATTCCATTCTATGATTCCTTTCGATTCCTTTCGGTGATGATTCCATTCGATTCCATTCGATGATGACTGCATTCATGTCCTTTAGATGATTCCATTTGACTCCATTTGATGATGATTCCATTATATTCCATTCGATGATGATTCCATTGGAGTCCATTCGATGATTCCATTTGATTCAATTCGATGATGAATCCATTCGTGTCCATTCGATGATTCCATTCTACTCCATTCGATGATGATTCAATTCAACTCCATTCACTGATTATATTTGAGTCCATTCAATATTTATTTTCGATTCCATTCGATGATGATTCCATTCAATTCCATTCAATGATGATTCCATTCGATACTGTTCTATGATTCCATTCAATTCCATTCAATGTTGATTCCATTCGATTCCATTCGATGGTTCTATTCGATTCCATTCGATGATGATTCAATTCGATTCCATTTGATAATTCCATTTGATTATATTTTATGATTATATTCGATCCCATTCAATGATTCCATTCACGTCCATTTGGTGATTCCTTTTGATTCTATTCAATGATGATTCCATTCGAGTCCATTCAATGGTGATTCCATTCGATTCCATTCAATGAGTCTATACTATTCCATTCGAAGATGATTGCATTCAATTCCTTTCGATGATTCCATTTGAATCCATTCAAAGATGATACCATTTGATTCCATCTGATAATTCCATTCGATGATTCAATTCTATTCCATTATATGATGATTACATTTGATCCCATTCGATGATTCTATTCAATTCCATTTGATGATGATTACATTCGAGTCCATTCGATGATCCCATTCAATTCCATTCGATGATGATTCCATTCGAGTGCATTCAATGATTCCTATCAATTCCACTCAATGATGATTCCATTCAAGTCCATCCAATTACTCTATTCAATTCCATTCTATAATGATTCTGTTCAAGTCCATTTTATGATTCCATTCGAGTCCTTTTGATGATTCCATTCGATTCCTTTTGATGATTCCATTCGAGTCCAATTGATGATTCCATTCAATTCCATTTGATGATGATTCTGTACGATTCCATTCCATGAGGATTCCATGTGATTCCATTCGATGATGATTCATTTCGATTCCATTTGATGATGATTCATTTTGATTCCATTCGATTATGATTCATTTCGAGTTCATTCAATGATTCCACACGTTTCCATTCGATGATGATTCCATTTGAGTCCATTCGATGATTCCATTTGAAACCATTCAATGAGGATTCCATTTGATTCCCTTCATTGGTGATTCCATTCAATTCCATTCAATGATTCCATTTCATTCCATTCGACAATGATTCCATTAGATTCCATTCAATGATTCCACTTGATTCCATTTACGATGATTCCATTTGATTCCATTTGATGATTCCATTCAATTCTACCCGATGATGTTTCCATTTGATTCTGTTTGACAATGGTTGCCTTTGATTCCATTCAATGATTCCATTCGGTTCCATTCGATGATGATTCTGTTCGATTCCATTTGATGATTCCATTTGATTCCATTGGATGATTCCATTCGATTCCATTCGATGATTATTCCATTTGAGTGCATTCGGTGATTCCATTCGAGTCCATTCAATGATTGCATTCGTGTACATTTGATGATTCCATTCGATGATGATTCCATTAGAGTCCATTCGATGATTCCATTCAAGTGCATTTGATAATTGCATTCGAGTCCATTCAATGATTTCATTTGATTCCTTTTGATGATTCCATTCAAGTCCGTTTGATCATTATAGTCGAGTCCATTCGATGATTCCATTTGAAGATGACCACATTCGATTCCATACAACGATGATTCCATTTGAGTCCATACGATGATTTCATTTGATTCAATTTGATGATGATTCCATTCGAGTCCATTCAATTATTCCATTCTATTCCATTTGATGATGATTCCTTTCAACTCCATTCAATGATTCTATTCAAGTCCATTCAGTAATTGCTTTGGATTCCATTCGATGACGATTACATTTGATTCCATTTGATGATGATTTGATTTGATACCTTTCTATGGTTCCATTCAATTCCATTCAATGTTGATTCAATTCGATTCCGTTTGATTATTCTATTCTTTTGCATTCCAGGATGATTATATTCAATTACATTCAATGATTCTGGTTGAGTATATTTGATGATGATTCCATTTGATTCCATTCGATGATTCCATTTGATTCCATTCGATAGTGATTCCATTCGACTCCATTCAATGATTCCATTCATTTCCATTCGATGATGATTCCATTCGAGTCCATTCAATGGTGATTCCATTCGATTCCATTCGATGATTCCATTTCATTCCATTGGATGATGATTGCATTTGATTCTATTCGATGATTCCCTTTGATTCCATTCAAAGTAGATTCCATTCGAGTCCATTCAATCATTCCATTCGCTTCCATTCTCTGATGATTCCATTCGAGTCCATTCGATGATTCCATTCAATTCCAGTTGATGATGATTCCATTCGATTCCATTCCATGATTCCATTGGATTCCATTTGATGATGATTCCATTCCATTCTGTTCGATGATTCCATTCAATTCCATCAGATGATGATTCCATTCGAGTCCGTTTGATGAATCCATTCGATTCCATTCAATGATAATTCCATTCGAGTCCATTCGATGATTCCATTTGATTCCATTCAATGATGATTCCATTCACGTCCATTTGATAATTACGTCCAATTCCATTCGATGATGATTCCATTCACGTCAATTTGATAATTCCATCTGATTCCATTCGATGATGACTGCATTCAGTGCCATTCGATGATGATTCCAAAGGATTCCATTCGTTGACTCCATTCAATTCCATTCGATGATGATTCCATTCGTTTCCATGCGATGATGATTTCATTTGATTCCATTCCATGATGATTCCATTCGATTCCATTCAATGATGATTCCATTTGATTCCATTCGACGATGATTCCATTTGATGATTCCATTTGATTCCGTTCAATGAATATTCCATTAGTGTCCATTCAATGATTCCATTCAAGTCCATTCAATGATTCCTTTCAATTCAACTTGATGATGATTCCATTCGAGTCCATTCGATGATTCAATTCGAGTGCATTCCATTATTCCATTCTATTCCATTCAATGATGATTCCATTCGAGTCCATTTGATGATTCCATTCGAGTCAATTTGATGATACCATTTGGTTCCATTTGATGATGATTCCATTGGATTCCATTCGTTGTTGATTCCATTCCATTCCATTCGATGATGATTCCATTCAATTGCATTCAATGATGATTCCATTCGATTTCATTCAATGATTCTATTCGATTCCATTCAATGATGATTCAATTCTATTGCATTCGAAGATTCCATTCGATTCCATTCGATGATGATTCCATTCGATTCCATTCGATGATGATTCCATTCAATTGCATTCAATGATGATTCAATTCGAGTCCATTCGAATATTCTGTACGATTACATTCCATGATGATTCCATTAGAATCCATTTGATGATTCCATTCTACTCAATTTGATGATTCCGTTCGATGCTATTCGATGATTCTATTCTATTCCATTCGAAGATGATTCCATTCAACTCCATTCGATGATTCCATTCGATTCCTTTCAATGATGATTCCATTCGATGATATTTGATGATTCCTTTCGATTCCATTCAATGATGATTGCATTTGTGTCCATTCGATAATTCCATTTGATTCCATTCGATGAAGATTCCATTCGAGTCCATTTGATGATTCCATTCGATGATGATTCCATTCGAATCCATTAGATGATTCCACTGGATTCCATTCGATGACTCTGTTCAATCCCATTTGATGATTCCCTTTGATTCCGTTCGATGATCTTTCCATTTGATTCAATTCGGTGATTCCATTCGATTGTATTCAGTGATGATTCCATTTTACTCCATTCGATGATGATTCCATTCGATTCCATTCAATTATGATTTCATTCAATTCCATTCGATGATGATTCCATTCGAGTCCATTCAATGATTCCATTTGATTCCATTTGATGATGATTCCACTCAAGTCCATTCGATGATTCCTTTCGAGTCCATTCAATGATTCCATTAGATTCCATTAAATGATGATTCCATTTGATGCTATTCGGTAATTCCATTGGATTCCATTCAACAATGATTCCATTCGTGTCCATTCGATGATTCCATTTGATTCCATTTGATGATGATTCCATTCGAGCCCATTGGGTGATTCCATTCAATTCCATTCGATGATGATTCCCTCCTAATAGATTTGATGATTCCATTTGATTCCATTCTATGATGACTGCATTCGGTTCCATCTGATGATGATTCCAACGGATTTCATTCGATTTCTCCATTTGATTCCATTCGTTGATGATTCCATTCCTTTCCATTTGATGATGATTCCATTATATTCCATTCGATGATGATTCAATTCGATTCCATTCAATGACGATTCCATTCAATTCCATTCAATGATGATTCCATTGGATTCCATTTGATGATTCCATTCGATTCCATTTGATGATGATTCCATTCGAGTACATTCAATGATTCCATTCAAGTCCATTCGAAGATTACTTTCAATTCCATTTGATGATTCCATTCGAGTCCATTCGATGATTCCATTCAAGTCCATTTGACGTTTCCTTTTGATTCCACTCGACATTGATTCCATTTGAGTCCATTCGATGATTCCATTCGAGTGCATTCCATGATTTCATTTGACTCCATTCGATGATGATTCCATTCGAGTCCATTCGATGATTCCATTTGATTTCATTCGGTGATGATTCCATTCGATTCCATTCGATGATTCCATTCAAGTCCATTCAATGATTACATTCGAGTCCATTAAATGATTCCATTCATTTCCATTCGATGATGACTCCATTCGAGCCCACTCAATGATGATTCTATTTGATTCCATTCGATGATACCGTTGGATTCCATTCTTTGTTTTATTTCGATTCTATTTGGTGATGATTCCATTCGATTTCATTTGATGACCCCATTCGATTCTATTTGATGATGATTCCATTCAATTCCATTTGATGAAAATTCCATTCGATTCCATTCATTGATGATTCCATTCGATTTTTTTGATGCCGATTCTATTCAATTCCATTCGATGATGATTCCTTTCGAGACCATTCGATGATTCCATTCACTTCATTCAATGATGATTCCATTCAATTCCTTTAGATGATTCCATTAGAATCCACTTGATGATGATTCCATTTGATTCCATTCGATGATGATTCCATGCGATTCCATTGGATTATGACTCCTTTCGTTTCCATTCGATGATTATTCCTTTCGAGTCCATTTGTTGTTGATTCTTTCGATTGTGTTCGATGATGATTCCATTTGATTCCATTCGATGATGATTCCATTCAATTCCATTAGATAATTCCATTTGGTTCCATTCGATGATGATTCCATTCGATTCCATTAGATTATTCCATTCGATTCCATATGATGATGATTCCATTTGAGTCCACTCGATGATTCCATTCGATTACATTCGATGATGATTCCATTCAATTTGATTCGATGATTCCATTCGATTTCTTTTGATGATTATTCCATTCGAATCCATTCGGTGATTCCTTTCCATTCCAGTTGAAGATGATTCCATTCCATTCCATTCAATGATACATTCCACACCATTCATTGATGATTCCATTTGAGTGCATTCGATTATACCATTCGATTCCATTTGATGATGATTCCTTTTGATTCCATTTGATGATTCCATTCAATTCCATTCTATGATGATTCCATTCGCGTCCATTTGATGATTCCATTGGAATCCATTTGATGATGATTCCATTCAATGATTCCATTTGATTATATTCAATGTTGATTCCATTTGATTTCATTCGATGCTGATTCCATTCAATTCCATTCGATGATTCCATGTGATTCCATTTGATGATTCCTTTCGATTACACTCGACGATGATTCCATTTGATTCCATTTGATGATTCAATTTGATTCTATTTGATAATGATTCCATTCGATTCCATTTGATGATGACAGCATTCGACTCCATTTGATTATTCCATTTGATTCCATTCAATGATTGTTCCTTTCGTGTTCATTGATTATTCCATTCCATTCCATTCGATGATTCCATTCAAGTCCATTCGATGATTCTATTCGATTCAATTCAATAATTCCTTTCGATTCCATTTGATGATGATTCCATTCGGGTGCATTCAATGATTATTCCATTCGATTCTATTTGGTGAATACTTTTGATTCCATTTGGTAATAATTCCATTCAAGACCATTCGATGGTTCCATTCAATTCATTCGATGAGGATTCCATTCAATTCCATTCGATGATTCCATTACATTCCATTTGATGATGATTCCATTTGATTTCATTCGATGATGATTGCATGCAATTCCATTCGATAATGGCCCCTTTCGTTTCCATTCGATGACAATTCCATTCGGTTCCCTTTAATGATGATTCCTTTGGATTCCATTAGATAATGATGGAATCCATTCTACTCCATTTGATGTTAATTCATTTTGATTCCATTCGATGATGATTCCATTTGATTCCATTCGATGATGATTCCATTTGATTCCATTCGATGATGATTCCATTTGATTACATTTGATGATGATTCCATTCAATTCCATTTGATGATTCCATTCGATTCCATATGATGATGATTCCATTCTAGTCCATTCGATGATTCCATTCTAGTCCATTCAGTGATGATTCCATTAGATTCCATTTGAAGATTCCATTTGATTCCTTTCGATGACTATTCCATTCGAGTCCATTCGGTGATTCCTTTCAATGCCAATTGAAGATTATTCCATTTGATTTCATTTGATGGTATCATTCGATACCATTCATTGATGATTCCATTACAGTGCATTCGATGATACCATTCGGTTCCGTTTGATGATGATTCCATTCGATTCCATTCGATGATTCCATTCAATTCCATTCGATGATGATTCCATTCAAGTCCATTCGATGATTCCATTTGATTTCATTCAATGATGATTCCATTTGATTCCATTCAATGATTCCATTTGAGTCCATTTAATGATTCCATTGGGTTCAATTTGATGATGATTACATTGGATTCCATTCTATGATTCCATTCAATTCCATTCATTGACGATTCGATTCCATTCAATGATGATTCCATTTGATTTCATTTGATGATTCTATTCGATTCCATTCGATGGTGATTCAATTCTATTATATTTGATTATTCCATTCGATTCCATTCGATGATGATTCCGTTCGATTCCATTCAATGATGATTCCATTCAATTCCATTCGATGATGATTCCATTCGATTCCATTTGATGTTAATTCCATTCAATTCTATTCAATGATGATTCCCTTCGATTTCGTTCTATGATTCTATTCGATTCCATTCGATGATGATTCAAATCTCTTCCATTGGATGATTCCATTTTATTCCATTTGATGATGACTCCATTCGACTCCATTCAATGATGATTCCATTCAATTCCATTCGATGATTCCATTCGATTCCATTCAATGGTGAGCAATTCAATTCAATTCCATGATGATTCTATTTGATTCAATTAGATGATGTTTCCATTCGATTCCATTCGATCATGATTCCATTGGAATCCATTCGATGATGATTCCATTCAAGTCCATTCGATGATGATTCCATACGAGTCCGTTCGATGATGATTCCATTCGATTTCATTCGATGCTTCTATTCCCTTCCATTCGATGATGATTCTGTCTGATTCAATTCTATGATTCCATTCGATTCCATTCGATGATGATTCAATTCTATTTCATTCGATGATTCCATTCGATTCCATTAGATGATGATTCCATTGGATTCCATTCTATGATGACTCCATTTGATTGCATTTGATGATTATTCCATTCGTGTCCATTCAATGATTCCATTCGATTCCATTCGATGATGATTCCATTCGAGTCCATTTGATCATTCTATTTGATTCCATTCTCCGATGATTCCATTCGAGTCCATTCGATGATTCCACTCGATTCCATACAATGATGATTCCATTCATCTTCATTTATTATTCAATTCCATTCCATTCGATAATTGCATTCGAGTCCGTTCGATGATTCTATTTGATTCCATTCGATAATTCCATTCGATTCCATTCGATGATGATTGCATTCAATTCCATTCTATGATTCCCTTTGATTCCATTCAAAGTTGATACCATTCGAGTCCATTTGATAATTCCATTCGACTCCATTCTCCAATGATTCCACTCGAGTCCATTCAATTGTTCCATTCAATTCCAGTCGATGATGAATCCATTCAATTCCATTCGATGATTCCATTGGATTCCATTTGATGATGATTCCACTGGAGTCCATTCGATGCTGATTCCATTCGAGTCCATTCGATGATGATTCCATTCATGTCCATTCGATGATGATTCCATTTGAGTCCATTCAATGATTCCATTCAATTCCATTCTATGATAATTCCATCCGAGTCCCTTCGATGATTCCATTCGATTCCATTCAATGATGATTCTATTCGAGTCCATTCAATGATTCAATCTGATTCTATTCGATGATTCCATTCGATAATTCCATTTGATTCCATTTGATGATGATTGCATTCTATTCCATTCTATGATTCCCTTTGATTCCATTCAACATTGATACCATTCGAGTCCATTTGATAATTCCATTTGACTCCATTCTCCAATGATTCCACTCGAGTCCATTCAATTGTTCCATTCAATTCCAGTCGATGATGATTCCATTCAATTCTATTTGATGATACCATCAGATTCCATTTGATGATGATTCCATTCGTGTCCATTCGATGATGATTCCATTCGAGTCAATTCGATGATTCCATTCGAGTCAATTCTATGATTCCATTCAAGTCCATTCAATGATTCCATTCGATTCCATTCGATGATGATTCCATTCGAGTCCATTCAATGATTCCATTCAATTCCATTCTATGATAATTCCATTCGAGTCCCTTTGATGATTCCATTCAATTCCATTTGATGATGATTCTATTCGAGTCCATTTGAGGATTGCATTCTAGTCCGTTTGATGATTCCATTCGATTCCATTCAATGATGACTGCATTCGGTTCCATTCGATGATGAATACAACCGATTCCATTCGATGACTCCATTCAATTCCATTCATTGATTATTCCATTCGATTCCATTGGGTGATGATACCATTAGATTCCATTCGATGATGATTCCATTTGATTCCATTCGATTCCATTCGATGATGATTCCATTTGATTCCATTTGATGATGATTCCATTCGATTCCATCCGATGATGATTGCGTTCAATTCCATTCGATAATGATTCCATTCAATTCCTTTCAATGATGATTGCATTAGATTCCATTCAATGATTCCATTTGATTCCATTCGTTGCTGATTCCATTCGGGTCCATTCGATGATTCAATTCAATTCCATTCGATAATGATTCCATTCGAGTCCATTAGATGTTTCCATTCAAGTCCATTCGATGATTCCTTTGGATTCCACTCGATGATGATTCCATTCTATCCCATTCGATGATTCCGTTTGAGTCCATCTGATGATTCCATTCGGTTCCCTTGGATGATGATTGCATTGGATTCCATTCGTTGATGATTCCATTCGATTCCATTCAGTGATGATTCCATTCAATGTCATTCAGTGATGATTCCATTCAATTCCATTCGATGATGATTCCATTCGATTTCATTCGATATTTCTATTTGATTCCATTCGATGATGATTCCATTTGATTTCATTCGATGTTTCTATTCGATTCCATTCGATGATGATTTAATTCTATTTTATTTGATGATTCCTTTTGATTCCATTCGATGATGATTCCATTCAATTACATTCGATGATGATTCCATTCGATTGCATTCGATGGTGATTCCTTTCTAGTCCATTCGAATATTCCATTCTATTCCATTCGATGATGATTCCATTGGAGTCCATTCGATGATTCCATTCGATTCCATTCGATGATGATTCCATTCGACTCCATTCGATGATTCCATTAGATTCCATTCGATGATGATTCCATTGGAGTCCATTCAATGATTATATTTGATTCCATTCGATGATGATTCCGCTCAAGTCCATTCGATGATTCCATTCGAGCCCTTTTGATTAATCCATTAGATTCCATTTGATGATGATTCCATTCGATGCCATTCAATGATTCCATTCGCTTCCATTCAATGATGATTCTATTCAAATCCACTCGATGATTCCACTCGATTCCATTCAATGACTCCATTCAATCCCATTAGATGATTCCCTTTGATTCCATTCGATGATCATTCCATTTGAATCAATTCGGTGATACCATTCTATTCCATTTGATGATGAATCTATTCAATTCCATTCGATGATGATTCCATTCATTCCATTCGATGATGATTCCATTCGATTCCATTCGATGATGATTCCATTAGAGTCCATTCAATGATTCCATTCAATTCCATTTGAAGATGATTCCATTTCGTGTCCTTTCAATGATTCCATTTGACTCCATTCGGTGATGATTCCATTCCATGCCATTCAATGATTCCATCCGATTTCATTCGATGAAGATTGCATTCGCTTCCATTCATTGATGATTCCATTTGATTCCATTTGATGATGATTCCATTCATATCCATTCGATGATGGTTCCATTCGAGTCCAATTGATCATTCCATTTGAGTCTGTTCGATGATTCCATTCGATTCCATCCCATTATGATTCGAGTCCATGCAATGATTCCTTTCAATTCTATTTGATGATTCAAATTGATTCCATTCGATGATTCACTTCAATTACTTTTGATGATGATTCCATTCGATTCCATTCACTGATTCCTTTCAATTCCATTCAATGATGATTCCATTCGATTCCTTTCGATGATGATTCCTTTTGATTCCATAAGATTTTCATTCCATTCGATTCCATTGATGATGATTTCTTTTGAATCCATTCGATGATTCCATTCATGTCCATTCGATGATTCCTTTCGAGTCCATTCCACAATTATTCCATTTGATTACATTCGATGATGATTAAATTTGACTCCATTCGATGATTCCATGCCCTTCCATTCGATGAGGATTCCATTAGTGTCCATTCGATTATTACATTCAATTCCATTCAATGAAGAGTCCATTCCATTACATTAGATGCTTCCAATCAATTCAATTCGATGATGATTCCATTTGATTCCATTCATTGGTTCCATTCCATTCCATTGGATAATGATTCCATTCGTGTCCATTCAATGATTCTGTTTGAATCCATTTGATGTTTGCTTTTGATTCCATTCTATGATGATTCCATTTGATTCCATTTGATGATGATTCCATTCCATAACAGTCTATGATTCCATTCTATTCCATTCAATGAGGATTCCATTTGATTCCATTCAATGATTCTATGTGATTCCATTCGAGGATGATTCCGTTGGATTCCATTCGATGATTCAATTCGCTTCCATTCAATGTTGATTCCATTCGATTCCATTTGATGATTCCATTCGATTCCATTTGATGATGATTCCATTAGTGTCCATTGGACGATTCCATACAAATCCATTCAATCATACCGTTCAATTCCATTTGATGATTCCCATCGATTCCCTCCGATGGTCATTCCATTCTATTCCATTCGATGATTCCATTTGATTGCATTCGATGCTGATTGCATTCTCAACCATTCGATGATGATTCCATTAGATTCCATTCGATGCTGATTCCATTTGATTCCATTCGATGCTGACTCCATTAGGTTCGATATGATGATGATTCCATTAGATTCCATTTGATGATTCCATTCCATTCATTGATGATTCTCTTTGATTCCATTCGATGATGATTCCATTTGGTTCCATTTGATGATGATTCCACTCAGTTCCATACGATGAAGATTCCATTAGATTCCATTTGATGATTCCATTCGATTCCATTCATTGATGATTCCATTCGATGATGATTCCATTCGATTCCATTCGATGATGATTCCATTCAATGTCATTAGATGATGATTCCATTCGATTCCATTCGATGATGATTCCATTCGATTTCATTTGATGTTTCTATTCAATTCCATTCGATGATGATTCAATTCTATTTTATTTGATGATTCCTTTCGATTCCATTCAATGATGATTCCGTTTGATTCCATTCGATGATGATTCCATTCGATTGCATTTGATGGTGATTCCTTTCTTGTCCATTCGAATATTCCATTCTATTCCATTCAATGACGATTCCATTTGGGTCCATTCAATGATTCCATTTGGTTCCATTCAATGATGATTCCATTCGACTCCATTCGATGATTCCATTTGATTCCACTCCATGATGATTCCATTCGACTTCATTCAATGATTCAATTCTATTCCATTCGATGATGATTCCATTGGAGTCCATTCAATGATTCTATTCGATTCCATTCGATGGCGATTCCTCTCGAGTCCATTCGATGATTCCATTCAAGTCCATTCCATTAATCCATTAGATTCCATTTGATGCTGGTTCCATTCGATGCCATTCAATGATTCCATTCGCTTCCATTCAATGATGATTCCATTCGAGTCCATTCGATGATTCCATTCGATTCCATTCAATGATGATTCCATTCGAATCCACTCAATGATTCCACTCGATTCCATTAGATGACTCCGTTCAATCCCATTAGATGATTCCCTTCGATTCCATTCGATGATCATTCCGTTTGAATCAATTTGGTGATACCATTCTATTCCAATCGATGATGAATCCATTCGATTCCATTTGATTATGACTCCATTTGATTCCATTCGAGGATGATTTCATTCACGTCCATACAATGATTCCATTTGATGGTGATTCCACTTAAGTCCATTCGATGATTCCATTATTGTTCATTCTATAATTCCATTAGATTCCATTTGGTGATGATTAGATTTGATGCCATTTGATGATTCCATTCAATTCCATTCAGGGATGATTCCACTTGTGCCCATTCGATGATTCCATTTGATTCCACTTGAGGATGATTCCATTCATGTCCATTCCATGATTCCATTCAATTCCATTCGATGATGATTCCATACGAATCTGTTTGATGATTCCATTCAATTCCCTTCGATGATTCCGTTCGTTCCCTTTCTATAATTCCATTCGATTCCATTCGATGATGACTCCATTTTGTTCTATTTGATAATGATTCCATTCGGTTCCATATGATGATGATTCCATTCAATTCCATTCGATGATTCCATTTGATTCCATTCGATGATGATTCCATTCATTCCATTCGATGATGATTCCATTCGATTCCATTCGATGATGATTCCTTTCGAGTCCATTCAATGATTCCATTCAATTCCAATTGATTCCATTCGATGATGATTCCATTCATATCCATTCAATGATGATTCCATTCTAGTCCAATCAATCATTCCATTTGAGACTATTTGATGATTCCATTCGATTCCATCCCATTATGATTCAATTCGAGTCCATTCAATGATGATTCCATTCAATTCTATTTGATGATTCAAATCAATTCCATTCGATGCTTCACTTCAATTACTTTTGATGATGATTCCCTTTGATTCCATTCACGGATTCCGTTCAATTCCTTTCGATGATGATTCCATTAGGTTTCATTTGATGATGATTGCATTTGGTTCCATTGGATGATGATTCCATTAGTTTCCATTCGATGGTTCCGTTCGATTCCATTCGTGGATGATTTCATTTGATTCCATTCAATGATGATTTCATTTGATTCCATTTGACGATGATTTCATTCGATGATGATTCCATTCGATTCCATTCGAAGATAATTCCATTCGATTTCTTTTGATGATTCTATTCCCTTCTATTTTATGATTATTCCATTCGATTCCATTGATGATGACTGTCTTAGAGTCCATAAAATGATTCCATTCGAATCCATTCGATGATGATAACATTCGATTCCATTCGATGATGATTCCCTTCATTTCCAATCGATGATTCCATTGGATTCCATTGGATGATGATTCATTCTGATTCCATTGGATGATGATTCCATTCGATTGCATTTGATGATGATTCCATTCATTTCCATTCAATGATGTTTCCATTCAATTACATTCGATGATGATTCCACTTGATGATGATTCCACCAGAGTCCATTTGATGATGATTCCATTCGATTCCAGTCGATGATGATTCCATTTGAGTCCATTCAATGATTCCATTCGATTCCATTCAATGATGATTCCATTCGAATCCATTCGATGATTCCATTCGATTCTATTCAATGTCAATTCCATTCGAGTCCATTCGATGTTTCCATTCGATTCCATTCAATGATGATTCCACTCAACAATTTTCAATGTTTCCATTGGATTCTATTTAATGATGAATCAGTTCGAGCCCATTTGATGATTCCATTCAATTCTTTCAATGATGATTTAATTCAATTCCATTCAATTGTGATTCCATTCAATTCCATTCAATGATTCCATTCGATTCCATTCGAAGATGAGTCCGTTCACTTCCATTCGTTGATTCCATTCAATTCTATTCAATGATTCCATTCGATTTCAGTCGTTGATGTTTCCATTCGATTCCATTGGATGATTATTCCATTCGATTCCATTCAATGATGATTCCATTCGTTCCATTTGATGATGATTCTATTCGATTCCATTCGAGGATGATTCCATTAGAGTCCATTCGATGAATCCATTTGATTCCATTCAATGATTCCATTCGATTCCATTCCTAGATGATTCCATTCAAGTCCATTCAATGATTCCATTGCATTCCATTTGATGCTGATTCTGTTCGAGTCCACTCAATGATTATTCCATTTGATTCCATTCGATGATGATTCTATTTGATTCCATTCGAGGATGATTCCATTAAAGTGTATTCGATGATTCCATTCGAGTCCATTCGATGATTCCATTCGATTGCATTCGATGATGATTCAATTCATGTCCATTCGATGTTACCATTCGATTCCATTCGATGATGACTCCTTTTGATTACTCTCATTAATGATTCCATTTGGTTCCATTTGATGATGATTCCATTCGAGTCCATTCGATGATTCCACTGAATTCCATTAGATGATTATTCCATTCGATTCCATTCAGTGGTGATTCCATTCAATTCCTTTCCATGATTCCATTCGATTCCATTCAATGATGATTTCATTCAATTCCATACCATGATTCCATTCGATTCCTTTCAATGATGATTCCCTTTGATTGCATTTGATGATGACTCCATTTGATTTCATTCAATGATGATTCCATTCAATTCCATTCGATGATGATTCCATTAGAGTCCATTCGATGATGATTCCATTAGAGTCCATTTGATGATGATTCCATTCGAGTCCATTCAATGATTCCATTCGATTCCCTTTGATGATTCCATTTCATCCCATTCGATGATTCCATTCCATCCCATTCGATGATTCCTTTCGATTCCATCTGATGATCATTCCATTCGATTGAATTTGGTGATACAATTCGATTCCATTCAATGATGATTCCATTCGATTCCATTCGATCATGAGTCCATTTGATTCCATTTGATGATTACTCCTTTCGGTTACATTTGATGGTGATTCCATTTGGTTCCATTCGATGATGATTCCATTAGATTCCACTCTATGATTCCATTTCATTCCATTCAATGATGATTCCATTTGAGTCATTCGATGATTCCATTACATTCCATTTGATAATGAGTCTATTCGATTAAATTTGATGATGATTCCATTTGATTCCATTTGATGATTATTCCATTTGATTTCATTTGATGATTCTATTTTTTTCCATTTGAAGGTGATTCTGTTCTATTCCATTTGCTAATTCCATTTGCTTTCATTTGATGATGAGTCTATTTGATTCCATTTGATGATGATTCCATTCGA
Organism: Homo sapiens; assembly: GCF_000001405.40. Taxonomy (NCBI): domain Eukaryota; kingdom Metazoa; phylum Chordata; class Mammalia; order Primates; family Hominidae; genus Homo; species Homo sapiens. The sequence goes on from NT_187502.1 coordinate 82,043, forward strand.
TTCCACTTGATAATGATTCCATTCGTGTCCATTCGATGACTATTCCATTCGATTCCATGCGATGATGATTCCATTTGAGCTCATTCAATAATTCAATGCGATTTCATTCGATGACAATTACATTTGATTCTATTTGATGATTGCATTCTATTCCATTTGATGATGATTCCATTTGAGTCCATTCAATGATTCCATTCAATTCTATTCTATGATGATTCCATTCGTGTCATTTGATGATTCCATTAGATTTCATTCAATGATAATTCCATTCGATTCCATTAGATGATTACATTTGATTCCATTCAATGACGATTCCATTTGAGTCCATTGGATGATTCCATTTTATTTCATTCGATGATGATTCCATTTGAGACCATTCGATGATTCCATTTGAATCCATTTGATGACTGTTTCCAATTATATTCGATGATGATTCCATTCGAGTCCATTCGATGATTCCATTCGATTAAATTCAATGACGATTCCTTTCAGGTCGATTAGGGGATTCCATTTGATTCCATTCGATGATGACTCCATTCGAGTCCATTCATTGATTCCATTCGATTCCATCCATTCGATGATGATTCTATTCGAGTCCACTCGTTGATTCCATTTGATTCCATTCAATGATGTTTCCCTTCGAGCCCATTCAATGATTACATTTGATTCCATTGGATGATGAATCCACTCGAGTCCATTCAATGATTCCATTCTAGTCCATTTGATGATTCCCTTAGATTCCATTCAGTGATGATTCCACTCGATGCCATTCAATGATTAGATTCAATTCCATTTGATGTTGTTTCCAATCGAGTCCATTTGATGATTCCATTCGATTCCATTCAATGATGATTCCATTCGTGCCTACTCAATGATTCCAATCGATTCCATTCGAATATGATTCCATTCGACTCCATTCGATGATGATTCCATTCGATTTCATTCGGTGATTCTATTCATTTCCATTTGATGATGATTCCATTCTCTTCCAGTCTATGATTCCATTTGATGCCATTCAATGTTACATTCGATTACATTCAATGATGACTCCATTCTATTCCATTTGATGATTCCATTCGATTCCATTCGATGATGATTCCATTCGATTCCATTCAATGATGATTCCATTCGTGTCCATTGGATGATTACATTTCATTGCTTTCAAAGATGATTCTGTTCGCGTCCATTAGATGATTCCATTCGATTCCATTCATTGATGATTCCATTAGATTCCATTCGATGATTCCATTCGATTCCATTTGATGATGATTCCATTGAATTCCATTCAATGATTACATTCGATTTCATTTGATGATGATTCTTTTTGAGTACATTCGATGATTCCATAACATTACATTAGATGGTGATTCCATTCGATTCCATTCGATGATTCCTTTCATGTCCATTCAATGACACCATTCGATTCCATTCGATGACTCCATTCGTTTCCACTCGTTGATGATTCCATTTGATTCAATTTGATGATGATTTCATTCGATTCCTTTCATTGATGATTCGATTGGACTCCATTCAATGATGATTCCATTTGACTCCATTCAATGATGTTTCCATTCGTCTCCATTCGAAACTAGTTTTTGATTGTGTACTAAATTAACAGAGTTGAAATTTTCTTTTGATAGACCAGTTTAGAAACACTCTTTTTGTAGAATCTACAAGTGGATATTTCGAGAGCTTTGAGGATTTCATTGGAAACGGGAATATCTTCATATAAAATCTAGACAGAAGGATTCTCAGAAACATCTTTGGGATGCTTGCATTCAAGTCACAGAGTTGAACATTCCTTTTCATACAGCATGTTTGAAACAGTCTTTTTATAGCATCTGGAAGTGGACATTTTGATCGCTTTGAAGCCTTTAGTGAAAAAGGAAATATCTTCCCATAAAAATTAGACAGAAGCATTCTCAGAAACTTGTTAGTGATGAGTGTAGTCAACTAACAGAGTTGAACCTTTCTTTTGATAAAGCAATGTTGAAACACTCTTTTTGTGGATTCTGCAAGTGGATATTTGGATAGCTTAGCGGAATTTGTTGGAAAAGGGAATATCTTCATATAAAATCAAGACAGAAGCATTCTCAGAAACATCTTCGCGATGTTTGCATTCAAGTCACAACGTTGAACATTCCCTTTCATAGAGCAGGTCTGAAACACTTATTTTGTAGTATCTGGAATGGCACATTTGGGGCGCATTGTGGCCTATGGTGAAAAAGGGATTATCTTCCCATAGAAACTAGACAGAAGCATTCTGAGAAACTATTTTGTGATGTGTGTACTCAACTAACGGAGTTGATAATTTCTTTTGATAGAGCAGTTTTGAAACACTCTTTTTGTAGAATCTACAAGTGGATATTTGGATAGATTTGAGGATTTCGTTGGAAACGGAAATATCTTCATATAAAATCTAGACAGAAGCATTAAGAGAAACTTCTTTGTGATGTTTGCATTCAAGTCACAGAGTTGAACATTCCCTTTCATAGAACAGGTTTGGAACACTGCTTTTGTAGTATGTGGAACTGGACATTTGGAGTGCTTTGTGGCATATGGTGAAAAAGGAAATAACTTCCCATTAAAAACTAGACAGAAGCATTATCAGAAACTTGTTTAGGATGTGTGTACTCAACTAACAGAGTTGAACCTTTCTTTTGTTAGAGCAGCTTTGAAACACACTTTTTGTAGAATTTGCAAGTGGATATTTGGATAGCTTTGAGGGTTTCGTAGGAAACGGGAACATCTTCATATAATATCTAGACAGAAGAATTATCAGAAACTACTTTGGGATGTTTGCAGTCAAGTCACAGAGTTGAACACACCCTTTCATAGAGCAGGTTTGAAACACTGATTTTGTAGTATCTGGAACTGGACATTTAGAACGCTTTGTGGCCTATGGTGAAAAAAGAAATATCTTCCCATAAATATTACACAGAAGCATTCTCAGAAACTACTTTGCGATATGTGTACTCAACTAACAGAGACAAGCTTTTCTTTTGATAGAGCAGTTTTGAAACAGCCTTTTTGTAGAATCTGCAAGTGGATATTTGGACAGCTTTGTGGATTTCGTTGGAAATGGGAATATTTTCTTATAAAATCTGGATGGAAGCATTCTCAGAAACATCTTTTGGATGTTTGCATTCCAGTCAGAGAGTTGAAAATTCCGTTTCATAGAGCAGGTATGAAACAATGATTTTGTCGTATCTCAAAATGGACATTTGGACACCCTGGTGGCGTATGGTGAAGAAGGAAATATCTTCCCATAAAAACTAGGCAGAAGCATTCTCAGAAACCAGTTGGTGATCTGTGTACTCAACTAAGAGAGTTGAACTTTTGTTTTGATAGAGCAGTTTTGAAACACTCTCTTTGTAGAATCTGCAAGTGGATATTTGCACAGCTTTGTGGATTTCGTTAAAAACGGGAATATCTTCCTATAAAATCTGGACAGAAGCATTCTCAGAAACATCTTTTGGATGTTTGCATTCCAGTCAGAGAGTTGAACATTCTCTCTCATAGAGCAGGTTTGAAACACTCTTTTTGTGGTATGTGGAAGTGGACATTTGAGTCACTTAGAGGCCTATGGTGAAAAAGGACATATCTTCCCATAAAAGCTAGACAGAAGCATTCTCAGAAACGAGTTTGTGATGTGTATACTCAACTAACAGAGTTGAACCTTTCTTTTGATAGAGCAATTTTGAAACACTCTTTTTGTAGAATCTGCAAGTGGATAATTGGATAGCTTTGAGGATTTCGTTGGAAACGGGAATATCTTCATATAAAATTTAGACAAGCATTCTCAGAATGTGATGATTGCATTCAAGTCACAGAGTTGAACGTTCCCTCTCATAGAGCAGGTTAGAAACACTGATATTGTAGTATCTGGAACTGGACATTTGTAGCGCTTTGTAGCCTGTATTGAAAAAGGAAATATCTTCCCATAAAAACTAGACAGAAGCATTCTCAGAAACTAGTTTGTGATGTCTGTACTCAACTAACAGAGATGAACCTTTCTTTTATTAGAGCAGTTTTGAAACACTCTTTTTGTAGAATGTGCAAGTGGATATTTGGATAGCTTTGAGGATTTCATTGGAAACTGGAATATCTTCATATAAAATCTAGACAGAAGCATACTCGGAAACATCTCTGTGATGTTTGCATTCTAGTCACAGAGGTGAACATTCACTTTCATAGAGGAGGTTTGAAACATTGATTATTGTAGTATCTGGACCTGGATATTTGGAGCGATTTTTGGCCTATGGTGAAAAAGGAAATATTTTCCCATAAAAACTACACAGAAGCATTCTCAGAAACAGGTATGTGATGAGTGTACTCAACTAACGCAGTTGAACCTTTCTTTTCACAAAGCAGTTTTGAAACACTCTTATTGTAGAATCTGCAAATGGATATTTGGATAGTTTGAGGATTTCGTTCAAAAGGGGAATATCTTCAAATAAAATCTAGACAGAAGCATTCTCAGAAACATCTTTGGGCTGTTTGCATTCAAGTCTCACAGTTGAACATTCCCTTTCATAGAGAAGGTTTGAAAAAGTATTTTTGTAATATCTGGAAGTGGACATTTGGATCGCTTTGTGGCCTATGGTGAAACAGGAAATATCTTCGCATAAAAACTAGACAGAATCATTCTCATAAACTTCTTTGGGTTATGTGTACTCATGTAACAAAGTTGAACCTTTCTTTTGATAGAACAGTTTTGAAACACACTTTTTGTAGAATCTGCAAGTAGATATTTGGATAGCTTTGGGTATGTCGTTGGAAACGGGAATATCTTCATATAAAATCTAGAAAGAAGTATTCTCAGAATCAACTTTGGGATGTTTGCACTCAAGTCACAGAGTTGTACATTCTCTTTCATAGAGCAGGTTTGAAACACTCTTTTTGTAATATCTGGAATGGACAATTTGATCGATTTGAGGACTACGGTTAAAAATGTAAATATCTTCGCATAAAAACTAGACAGAAGCATTCTCATAAACTTCTTTGTGATGTGTGTACTCAACAGAGTTCAAGCTTTCTTTTGATAGAGCAGTTTTGAAACACTCTTTTTGTAGAATCTGCAAGTGCATATTAGGATAGCTTTGAGGATTTCGTTGGAAACGGGAATATCTTCATATAAAATCTAGACAGAATCATTCTCAGAAACATCTCTGTGATGATTGCATTCAAGTCACACAGTTGAACATTCCGTTTCATAGAGCAGGTTTGAAACACTGATTTTGTCTTATGTGGAAGTGGACATTTGAGCGCATTGTGGCCTAAGGTGAAAAAGGAAATATCTTCCCATAAAAACTAGAAAGAAGCATTCTCAGAAACTAGTTCGTGATGTGTCCACTCAACTAACTGAGTCGAACCTTTCTTTTGATAGAGCAGATTTGAAACTCCCTTTTCGTAGAATCTGTAAGAGTATATTTTATAGCTTTGAGGATTTTGTTGGAAACAGGAATACCTTCATATAAAATCTAGAGAGAAGCATTCTCAGAATGTGCTGATTGCATTCAACTCACACTGTTGAACATTCCCTTTAATAGGGCAGGTTTGAAACAATGATTTTGTAGTATGTGGAACTGGACATTTGGAGTGCTTTGTGGCCTATGGTAAAAAAGGAAATATCTTCCCATAAAAACTACACAGAAGCATTCTAAGAAACCAGTTTGTGATGTGTGTACTCAACTAACAGAGTAGAACTTTTCTTTTGATAGAGCAGTTTTGAAACACTCTTTTTCTAGAATCAGCAAGTGGATATTTGGATAGCTTTGAGTATTTCGTTGGAAACGGGAATATCTTCTTATAAAATCTATACAGAAGCATTATCAGAAATATCTTTGGGATGCTTGCATTCAAGTCTCAGAGTTGAACATTCCCTTTCATAGAGCAGGTTTGAAACAATGATTTTGTTGTATCTGGAACTGGACATTGTAATGCTTTTTTGACTATGGTGAAAAAGGAAATATCTTCCCATAAAAACTACACAGAAGCATTCTCAGAAACTAATTTGTGATGTGTGTAGTCAACTAACAGGGTTGAACCTTTCTTTTGATAGAGCAGTTTGGAAACACTCCCTTTGTAGAATCTGCTATTGGATATTTGGATATCTTTGAGGATTTCGTTTTAAATGGAACATATTCATATGAAACCAAGACAGAATCATTCTCAGAAACATCTTTGGAATGTTTGCATTCAAGTCTCAGAGTTGAACATTCCCTTTCATTGAACAGGTTTGAAACACTCTTTTCGCTGTATCTGGAAGTGGACATTTTGATCGCTTTGAGGCCTATGGTGAAAAAGGAAATATCTTCGCATAAAAACTATACAGAAGCATTCTCAGAAACTACTTTGAGATGTGTGTTCTCAACTAACAGAGTTGAAGCTTTCTTTTGATAGAGCAGTTTTGAAACACTCTTTTTGCAGTATCTGCCAGTGGATATTTGGATAGCTCTGTGGAATTCATTGGAAACGGGAATAACTTCATATAAAATCTAGACAGAAGCAATATCAGAAACTTCTTTGTGATGTTTGCATTCAAGTCACAGAGTTGAACATTTGCTTTCATAGAGCAGGTTTGAGACACTGATGTTGCAGTATCTCGAACTGGGCGTTTGGAACGCTTTGAGGCCTGTAGTGAAAAAGGAAATATCTTAACATAAAAACTACAGAGAAGCATTCTCAGAATCTAGTTTGTGCTGTGTGTACTCAACTAACAGAATTGAACCTCTCTTCTGATACAGCAGTTTTGAAACACTCTTTTTGTAGAATCTGCAAGAGGATATTTGGTCAGCTTTGAGGATTTCGTTGGAAATGGAATATCTTCATATAAAATCTAGACACAAGCATTCTCAGAAAAATCTCTGTGATGTCTGCATTCAAGTCCCAGAGTTGAACTTTCCCTTTCATAGAGCATGTTTCAAACACTCTTTTTTTAATATCTGGAAGTGGATATTTGTATTGATTTGGGGCCCATGGTGAAAAAGGAAATATCTTACCATAAAAACTAGACAGAAGCATTCTCATAAACTTGTTTGTGATGTGGGTAGTCAACTAACAAGGTTGTACCTTTCTTTTGATAGTGCAGTGTTGAAACACTCTTTTTGTAGAATCTGCAAGTGGATATTTGGATAGATTTGAGGGTATCATTAGTAACGAAAATATCTTCATATAAAAATCTAGACAGAAGCATTCTCAGAAACATCTTTGGGATGTTTGCATTCAAGTCACAGAGTTGAACATTCCCTTTCATAGAGCAGGTTTGAAAGCCTCTTTTTGGGCTATCTCGAACTAGACATTTCGAACACATTGTGGCCTTTATTGAAAAAGGAAATATCTTCCCATAAAACTAGACAGAAGCACTCCCACAAACATCTATGGGATGTTTGCATTCAAGACACAGAGTTGAACATTCCCTTTATTAGAGCAGGTTTCAAACCCTCTTTTTGTGGTATGTGGAAGTGGACAATTGGATCGCTTTGAGGCCTACGGTGTAAAAGGAAATATCTTCGCATAAAAACTAGACAGAAGCATTCTGATAAACCTGTTTCTGAAGTGTGTACTCAACTATCAGAGTTCAACCTTTCTTTTGATAGAGCAGTTTTGAAACACACTTTTTGTAGAATCTGAAAGTGGATATTTGGATAGTTTTGAGGATTTCGGTGGAAACACGAGTATCTTCATATAAAATCTAGACAGAAGCATTCTCAGAAACATCTTTGGGATGCTTGCCTTCACATCAGAGAGTTGAACATTCCCTTTCATAGAGCAAGTTTGAAACACTCTTTTTGTGGTATCTGGAAGTGGACATTTTGATCGCTTTGAGGCTCATGGTGAAAAAGGAAATATCTTCGCATAAAAACTAGACAGAAGCATTCTCATAAACCTGTTTGTGATGTGTGTACTCAACTAACAGAGTTGAACCTTTCTTTTGATAGAGCAGTTTTGAAACACTCTTTTTGTAGAATCTGCAAGTGGATATTTTGATAGCTTTGACGGTTTCGTTGGAAACGGAAATATCTTCATATAAAATCTAGACAGAAGCATTCTCAGAAACATCTCTGTGATGTTTGCATTCAAGACACATAGTTGAACTTTCTCTTTACTGTAACAGCTTTGAAACACTGATTTTGTAGTATCTGGAACTGGACATTTCATGTGCATTGTGGCCTATATTGAAAAAGGAAATATCTTCCCATAAAAATTGACAGAAACATTCTCAGAAACTAGTTTGTGATGTGTGTACTCAACTAACACAGTTGAAACTTTCTTTTGATAGAGTAGTTTTGAAACAGTCTTTTTGTAGAATCTGCAAGTGGATATTTGGATACCTTTGAGGATTTCGTTGCAAACAGGAATATCTTCAGGTAAAATCTACACAGAAGCATTCTCAGAAACATCTTTCGGATGTTTGCATTCAAGTAACAGTGTTGAACATTCCCTTTCTTAGAGCAGGTTTGAAACACTCTTTTTGTAATATCTGGAAGTGGACATTTGGATCGCTTTGAGGTCTGTGGTGAAAAAGAAAGTACCTTGGCATAAAAACTAGACAGAACCATTCTCATAAACTTGTTTGTGATGTGTGTACTCAACTAACAGAGTTGAACCTTTCTTTTGATAGAACAGTTTGAAACAATCTTTTGGTAGAATCTACAAGAGGATATTTGGATAGCTTTGAGTATTTCATCGGAAACGGGAATATGTTTATATAAAATCTAGACAGAAGCATTATCAGAAACATCTTTGTGATGTTTGCAATCAAGTCACAGATTTGAACATTCCCTTTCATAGAGCAGGTTTGAAACACTCTTTTTGTAGTATCTGGAAGTGGACATTTGGATCACTTTGAGGCCTATGGTGTAAAAGGAAATATCTTCGCATAAAAACTAGACAGAAGCATTCTCACAAACTTGTCTGTGATATGTGTACTCAACTAACAGAGGTGAACCTTTCTTTTGATAGAGCAGTTTTGAAACACTCTTTTTGGAGAATCTGCAAGTGGGTATTTGGATAGCTTTGAGGATTTCGTTGGAAACGGGAATATCCTAATACAAAATCTAGAAAGAAGCATTCTCAGAAACATATCTGTGATGTTTGCATTCAAGTCACAGGGGTGAATATTCCCTTTTCTGGAGCAGGTTTGAAAAACTGATTTTGTGGTATCTGGAACTGGACATTTCGAGCGCACTGTGGCCTTTATTGAAAAAGGAAATATCTTCCCATAAAAACTAGACAGAAATATTCTCAGAAACTACTTTGTGATGTGTGTACTCAACTATCAGAGTTGAACCTTTCTTTTCATAGAGCAGTTTTGAAACACACTTATTCTAGAATCTGCAAGTGGATATTTGGATAGCTTTGAGGAATTCGGTGGAAACGCGAATATCTTCATATAAATTCTAGACAGAAGCATTCTCAGAAACATCTTTGGGATGTTTGCCTTCACATCAGACAGTTGAACATTCCCTTTCATAGGGCAGGTTTGAAATACTCTTTTTGTAGTATCTGGAAGTGGACATTTGGAACGGTATCAGGCCTATGGTTAAAAAGGAAATATCTTCCCATAAAAACAAGACAGAAGCACTCTCAGAAACTTATTTCTGATATCTGTCCTCACTTAACGGACATGAACCTTTCTTTTTATAGAGCACTTTTGAAACACTCTTTTTGTAGTATCTGCAAGTGGATATTTGGATGGCTTTGAGGATTTCGTTGGAAACGGGAATATCTTCCTATAAAATCTAGACAGAAGCATTCTGAGAAACTACTTTGTGATGTTTGCATAAAAGACACAGAGTTGAACATTCCCTGTCATAGAGCAGGTTTGAAACAATCTTTTTGTAGTATCTGGAAGTGGACACTTCGAACGCTTTCAGGCCTATGGTTAAAAAGGAAACATCTTCTCATATAAAGAAGACAGAAGCATTCTCAGAAACTTATTTGTGATGTGTGTCCTAAACTAACAGACTTGAAACTGTCTTGATACAGCAGTTTTCAAACACTCTTTTTCTAGAATCTGCAAGTGGACATTTGGATAGTTTTGAGGATTTCGTTGCAAACGGGATTACATATAAAAAGTAGACAGCAGCATTCTCAGAAACTTCTTGTGATGTTTGCATTCAAGTCACAGAGTTGAACATTCCCTGTCATAGAGCAGGTTTGAAACAATCTTTTTGTAGTATCTGGAAGTGGACACTTCGAACGCTTTCAGGCCTATGGTTAAAAACGAAATATCTTCTCATATAAACAAGACAGAAGCATTCTCAGAAATTTATTTGTGATGTGTGTCCTCAACTAACAGACTTGAACCTGCCTTTTAATACAGCAGTTTTGAAACACTCTTTTTGTAGAATCTGCAAGTGGACATTTGGACAGCTTTGAGGATTTCGTTGGAAACTGGATTACATATAAAAAGTAGACAGTAGAATTCTCAGAAACTTTTTGTGATGTTTGCATTCAAGTCACAGAGTTGAACATACCCTTTCATAGAGCAGGTTTGATACACTCTTTTTGTAGTATCTGGAAGTGGACATTTGGAGCGCTTTGTGGCCTACGGTAAAAAAGGAAGTACCCTCCCATAAAAACAACATAGAAGCAATCTCAGAAACTTGTTTATGCTGTATCTACTCAACGAACAGTGTGCAAACTTTCTATTGATAGAGCAGGTGTGAAACACTCTTTTTTTGGAATCTGCAGGTGCATACTTGGATAGAATTGAGGATTTCGTTGGAAAAGGGATTACTTATAAAAAGTAGACTGCAGCATTCTCAGAAACTTCTTTGTGATGTTTGCATTCAAGTCACAGAGTTGAACATTCCCTTTCATAGAGCAGGTTTGAAACACTCTTTTTGTAGTATCTGGAAGTGGACATTTCCAACGCTTTCAGGCCTACGGAGAAAAAGGATATATCTTCCCATAAAAACAAGACAGAAGCATTCTCAGAAACTTATTTGTGATGTGTGTCCTCAACTAACGGACTTGAACCTTTCTTTTTATAGAGCACTTTTGAAACACTCTTTTTGTACTATCTGCAAGTGGATAGTTGGATGGCTTTGACGATTTCGTTGGAAACGGGAATATCTTCCTATAAAATCTACACAGAAGCATTCTCAGAAACTTCTTTGTGATGTTTGCATTCAAGTCACAGAGTTGAACATTCCCTGTCATAGAGCAGGTTTGAAACAATCTTTTTTTAGTATCTGGAAGTGGACACTTCGAACGCTTTCAGGCCTATGGTTAAAAAGGAAATATCTTCTCATGTAAACAAGACAGAAGCATTCTCAGAAACATATTTGTGATGTGTGACCTCAACTAACAGACTGGAACCTGCCTTTTGATACAGCAGTTTTGAAACACTCTTTTTGTAGAATCTGCAAGTGGACATTTGGATAGCTTTGAGGATTTCGTTGGAAACGGGATTACATATAAAAAGTAGACAGCAGCATTCTCAGAATCTTCTTTGTGATGTTTCCATTCAAGTCACAGGGTTTAACATTCCCTTTCATAGAGCAGGTTTGAAACACACTTTTTGTAGTATCTGGAAGTGGACATTTCCACTGCTTTCAGGCCTACGGTGAAAAAGGAAATATCTTCCCATAAACACAAGACAGAAGCATTCTCAGAAACTTATTTCTGATGTGTGTCCTCAACTAACGGACTTGAACCTTTCTTTTTATAGAGCACTTTTGAAACACTCTTTTTGTACTATCTGAAATTGGATACTTGGATTGCTTTGACGATTTCTTTGGAAACGGGAATATCTTCCTATAAAATCTAGACAGAAGCATTCTCAGAAACTTCTTTGTGAGGTTTGCATTGAAGTCACCGAGTTGAACATTCTCTTTCATAGAGCAGGTTTGAAACACTCTTTTTGTAGTATCTGGAAGTGGACATTTCCAACGCTTTGAGGCCTACGGTGAAAAAGGAAATATCTTCCCATAAAAACAAGACAGAAGCATTCTCAGAAACTTATTTCTGATGTGTGTCCTCAACTAATGGACATGAACCTTTCTTTTTATAGAGCACTTTTGGAACACTCTTTTTGTAGTATCTGCTAGTGGATATTTGCATGGCTTTGATGTTTTCGTTGGAAACTGGAATATCTTCGTATAAAATCTAGACAGAAGCATTCTCAGAAACTTCTTTGTGATGTTTGCATTCAAGTCACAGAGTTGAACATTCCCTGTCATAGAGCAGGTTTGAAACAATCTTTTTGTAGTATCTGGAAGTGGACACTTCGAAAGCTTTCATGCCTATTGTTAAAAAGTAAATATCTTCTCATATAAAAAAGACAGAAATATTCTCAGAAATTTACTTGTGATGTGTGTCTTCAACTAACACACTTGAACTTGTCTTGATACAGCAGTTTTCAAACGGTCTTTTTCTAGAATCTGCAAGTGGACATTTGTATAGCATTGAGGATTTCGTTGCAAACGGGATTAAATAAAAAAGGTAGACAGCAGCATTCTGAGAAACTTTTTGTGATGTTTGCATTCAAGTCACAGAGTTGAACATTCCCTTTCATAGAGCAGGTTTGAAACTCACTTTCTGTAGTATCTGGAAGTGGACATTTCTAACGCTTTCAGGCCTACAGTGAAAAAGGAAATATCTTCCCATAAAAACAAGAGAGAAGCATTCTCAGAAACTTATTTCTTATGTGTGTCCTCAACTAACGGACTTGAACCTTTCTTTTTATAGAGCACTATTGAAACACCCTTTTTGTAGTATCTGCAAGTGGTTATTGGGATAGCTTTGACGATTTCATTGTAAACGGGAATATCTTCCTATAAAATCTAGACAGGAGCATTCTCAGAAACTTCTTTGTTATGTTAGCATTCAAGTCACAGAGTTGAACATTCCCTTTCATAGAGGAGGTATGAGACACTCTTTTTGTAGTCTCTGGACGTCGACATTTGGAGCGCTTTGAGGCCTATGTTGGAAAAGGAACTATCTTCCCATAAAAATGAGATAGAATCAATCTCAGAAACTTGTTTATGCTGTATCTACTCACGTAACAGTGTTGAACCTTTCTATTCTTAGAGCAGGTTTGAAACACTCTTTTTTTGGAATCTGCATGTGGACATTTGGATAGATTTGAGTATTTCGTTGGAAACGGGATTACATATAAATAGTAGACAGCAGCATTCTCAGAAACTTCTTTGTGATGTTTGCATTCAAGTCACAGAGTTAAACATTCCCTCTCATAGAACAGGTTGGAAACACTCTTTTTGTAGTGTCTGGAAGTGGACATTTGCAACGGTATCAGGCCTATGGATGAAAAGGAAATATCTTCCCATAAAAACAAGATGGAAGCATCCTCAGAAACATATTTGTGATGTGTGTCCTCAGCTAACAAACTTGAACCTTTCTTTTGATACAGCAGTTTTGAAACACTCTTTTTGGAGAATCTGCAAGTGGATATTTGGATACTTTTGAGGATGTCCTTGGCAACGGGATTACATATAAAAAGTAGAGAGCAGCATTCTTAGAAACTTCTTTGTGATGTTTCCTTTCATGTCACAGATTTGAGCATTCCCTTTCATACAGCAGGTTTGAGACAGTCTTTTTGTAGTATCTCGAAGTGGACATTTCGAGCTCTTTGAAGCCTATGGTGAAAAAGGAAATATCTTCCCATAAAAGCTAGAGAGAAGCATTCTCAGAATCATGTTTGTGACGTGTGTACTCAACAAACAGAGTTGAACCTTTCTTTTGATAGAGGACCTTTGAAACACTCTTTTTGTAGAATCTGCAAGTGGATATTTGGATAGCTTTGAGGATTTCGTTGCAAACGGGGTTACATATAAAAAGTAGACAGCAGCATTCTGAGAAAATTTTGTGATGTTTGCATTCAAGTCACAGAGTTGAACATTCCCTTTCATAGAGCAGGTTTGAAACACTCTTTTTGTAGTATCTGGAAGTGGACATTTCCAACACTGTCAGGCCTACGGTGAAAAAGGAAGTAGCTTCCCATAAAAACAAGACAGAAGCATTCTCTGAAACTTATTTCTGATGTCTGTCCTCAACTAACGGATATGAACCTTTCTTTTTATGGAGCACTTTTGAAACACTGTTTTTGTAGTATCTGCAAGGGGATACTTGGATGGCTTTGACGATTTCATTGGAAACGAGAATATCTTCCCATAAAAACAAGACAGAAGCATTCCCAGAAACTTGTGATGTGTGTCCTCAACTAACAGACTTGAACCATTCTTTTGATACATCTGTTTTGAAACAGTCTTTTTGTGGAATCTGCAAGTGGATATTTGGATAGCTTTGAGGATTTCGTTGGAAACGTGATTACATATAAAATATAGACAGCAGCATTTTCAGAAACTTCTTTGTGATGTTTCCATTCAAGTCACAGATTTGAACATTCCCTTTCATAGAGCAGGTTTGAGACACACTTTTTGTAGTATCTGGAAGTGGACTTTTGGAGAGATTTGTGGCCTATGGTAAAAAAGGAAGTATCTTCCCATAAAAAAGAGATAGAAGCAATCTCAGAAACTTATTTAAGCTGTATCTACTAAACTAACCGTGTTCAACCATTCTACTGATAGAGCATGTGTGAAACACTCTTTTTTTGGAATCTGAATGTGCGTATTTAGATAGATTTGAGGATTTCGTTGCAAACGGGATTACATATAAAAAGTAGATAGCAGCATTCTCAGAAACTTCTTTCTGATATTTCCATTCAAGTCCCAGAGATGAGCACTCCATTTCATAGAGCAGGTTTGAAACGATCTTTTTGTAGTATCTGGAAGTGGACATTTCAAGCGCTTTCAGGACTATGTTGAGAAAGGTAGTGTCTTCTAATAAAAACTACACAGAAGCATTCTCAGAAACGTATTTGTGATGGGTGTCCTCAACTAACAGAGTTGAACGTTTGTTTTCATACAGCAGTTTGGTAACACTCTTTTTGTAGAAGCTACAAGTGTATATTTGAAGAGCTTTTAAAATTTCGTTGGAAACGGCAATATCTTCATATAAAATCAAGACAAAAGCATTCTCAGAAACTTTTTTGTGATGTTTGCATTCAACTCATAGACTTGAACATTCCCTTTCATACAGCAGGTTTCAAACACTGTTTGTGTAATATGTGGAAATGGACATTTCCAGCGCTTCGAGGCCTGTGGTGAAGAAGGAAATATCTTCCCAAAAAAACTAGAAGAAAGCATTCTCAGAATCTTCTTAGAGATGTGTATACTCAATTAACAGAGTTGAACCTATCTTTTGGCAGAGTAGTTTTGAAACACACTTTTTGTACAATCGGCAAGTGAATATTCGGGTAGCATTGAGGTTTTCATTGGAAACGGATATATCTTCATATAAAATCAAGACAGAAGCTTTCTCAGAAACTCCTTTGTGATGTATGTCCTCAATTAACAGAGTTCAACCCTTGTTTGGATCCAGCATTTTGGAAAAATTCCTTTTGTAGAGTCTGCAAGTGGATATTTGGATAGCTTTGTAGATTTCATTGGAAAAGGGAATACTTTCAGATAAAATATAGACAGAAGCACACTCAGAAACTACTTTGTGATGTTTGCGTTCAACTCATTGAGTTGAACATTCCCTTTCATAGAGTAGGTTTCAAATATTCTTTTTGTAGCATGTCGAAGTGGACATTTGGAACGCTTTCAGGCCTACGGTGTAAAAGGAAATATCTTCAGATAAAAACTAGACAGAAGCATTCTCAGAAACTTGTTTGTGATGTGTGTATTCAACTAACAGAGATGAACCTTTCTTTTTACAGAGCAGTTTTGAAACACTCTTTTTGTGGAATCTGAGAGTGGATATTTGGATAGCTTTGAGGATTTCGTTGGAAACGGGATTACATATAAACTCTAGAGAGAAGCATTCTCAGGAACTTCTTTGTGATGTTTGAATTCAAGTCACAGAATTGAACATTCCCTTTCATAGAGCAGGTTTGAAACACTCTTTCTGTAGTATCTGCAAGTGGACATTTCAAGCGCTTTCAGGCCTATGGTGAGAAAGGAAATATCTTCAAATAAAAACTGGACATAAACATTCTCAGAAACTTATTAGTGATGTGTGTCCCCAACTAACAGAGTTGAACCTTTGTTTTGATACAGCATTTTGGAAACACTGTTTTTGTAGAATCTGCGGGTGGATATTTGGATAGCTTTGAAGATTTTGTTGGAAACGGAAATATCTTCATATAAAATCAAGAAAGAAGCATTCTCAGAAGCTTGTTTGTGATGTGTGTATTCAACTAACAGAGATGAACCTTTCTTTTTACAGAGCAGTTTTAAAACACTCTTTTTGTGGAATCTGAAAGTGGATATTTGGATACCTTTGAGGATTTCGTTGGAAACGGGATTACATACAAAATCTAGAGAGAAGCATTCTCAGGAACTTCTTTGTGATGTTTGCATTCAAGTCACAGAACTGAACATTCCCTTTCATAGAGCATGTTTGAAACACTCTTTCTGTAGTATCTGCAACCGGACATTTCAAGCGCTTTCAGGCCTGTGGTGAGAAAGGAAATATCTTCAAATAAAAACTAGACAGAAGCATTCTCAGAAACTTATTTGCGATGTGTGTCCTCAACTAACAGAGTTGAACCTTTGTTTGGATACAGCATTTTGGAAACATTCCTTTAGTAGTATCTGCAAGTTGATATTTAGATAGGAAGATTTCGTTGGAAACGGGAATCTCTTCATATAAAATCTAGACGGAAGCATTCTCAGAAACTTCTCTGTGATGTTTGCATTCAACTCATAGAGTGGAACACTTCCTTTCATAGAGCAGGTTTGAAACACTCTTTTTGTAATATTTGGAAGTGGACATTGGCAGCGCTTTGAGGCCTATGGTGAAAAACGAAATATCTTCTCCTAAAAACCAGACAGAAGCATTCTCAGAAACTTCCTTGTGATGTGTGTACTCAAGTAACAGAGATGAACTTTCCTTTTGACAGAGCAGTTTTGAAACACTCTTTTTGTAGAATCTGCAAGTGGATATTTTGATACCTTTGAGGATTTCGTTGGACACGGGATATCTTCATATAAAATCTAGACAGAAGCATTCTCAGAAACTTCTTTGTGCTGTATGTCCTCAATTAACAGAGTTGAACCTTTGTTTTGATACAGCATTCTGGAAACATTCCTTTAGTAGAATCTGCAAGTTGATATTTAGATAGCTAGGAAGATTTCCTTGGAAACGGGAATATCTTCATATAAAATCTAGACGGAAGCATTCTCAGAAACTGCTTTGTGATGTTTTCATTCAAGTCACAGAGTAGAATGTTCCCTTTTATAGAGCAGGTTTGAAACACTCTTTCTGCACTACCTGGAAGTGGACATTTGGAGCGCTTTGAGGCCTATGTTGAAAAAGGAAATATCTTCCCATAAAAACTAGACAGAAGCATTCTCAGAAACTTGTTTGTGATGTGTGTATTCAACTAACAGAGATGAACCTTTCTTTTTACAGAGCAGTTTTGAAACACTCTTTTTGTGGAATCTGAAAGTGGATATTTGGATAGCTTTGAGGATTTCGTTGGAAACGGGATTACATACAAAATCTAGAGAGAAGAATTCTCAGGAACTTCTTTGTGATGTTTGCATTCACGTCACAGAACTGAACATTCCCTTTCATAGAGCATGTTTGAAACACTCTTTCTGTAGTATCTGCAACCGGACATTTCAAGCGCTTTCAGGCCTGTGGTGAGAAAGGAAATATCTTCAAATAAAAACTAGACAGAAGCATTATCAGAAACTTATTTGCGATGTGTGTCCTCAACTAACAGAGTTGAACATTTGTTTGGATACAGCATTTTGGAAACATTCCTTTAGTAGTATCTGCAAGTTGATATTTATATAGGAAGATTTCGTTGGAAACGGGAATCTCTTCATATAAAATCTAGACGGAAGCATTCTCAGAAACTTCTCTGTGATGTTTGCTTTCAACTCATAGAGTGGAACACTTCCTTTCATAGAGCAGGTTTGAAACACTCTTTTTGTAATATTTGGAAGTGGACATTGGCAGCGCTTTGAGGCCTATGGTGAAAAAGGAAATATCTTCTCCTAAAAACCAGACAGAAGCATTCTCATAAACTTCCTTGTGATGTGTGTACTCAAGTAACAGAGATGAACCTTCCTTTTGACAGAGCAGTTTTGAAACACTCTTTTTGTAGAATCTGCAAGTGGATATTTTGATACCTTTGAGGATTTCGTTGGACACGGGATATCTTCATATAAAATCTAGACAGAAGCATTCTCAGAAACTTCTTTGGGCTGTATGTCCTCAATTAACAGAGTTGAACCTTTGTTTCGATACAGCATTTTGGAAACATTCCTTTAGTAGAATCTGCAAGTTGATATTTAGATAGCTAGGAAGATTTCCTTGGAAACGGGAATATCTTCATATAAAATCTAGACGGAAGCATTCTCAGAAACTGCTTTGTGATGTTTTCATTCAAGTCACAGAGTAGAATGTTCCCTTTTATAGAGCAGGTTTGAAACACTCTTTCTGCACTACCTGGAAGTGGACATTTGGAGCGCCTTGAGGCCTATGTTGAAAAAGGAAATATCTTCCCATAAAAACTAGACAGAAGCATTCTCAGAAACTTGTTTGTGATGTGTGTATTCAACTAACAGAGATGAACCTTTCTTTTTACAGAGCAGTTTTGAAACACTCTTTTTGTGTAATCTGAAAGTGGATATTTGGATAGCTTTGAGGATTTCGTTGGAAACGGGATTACATATAAAATCTAGAGAGAAGCATTCTCAGGAACTTCTTTGTGATGTTTGCATTCACGTCACAGAACTGAACATTCCCTTTCATATAGTATGTTTGAAACACTCTTTCTGTAGTATCTGCAAGTGGATATTTCAAGCGCTTTCAGGCCTCTGGTGAGAAAGGAAATATCTTCAAATAAAAACTGGACAGAAGCATTCTCAGAAACTTATTTGCGATGTGTGTCCTCAACTAACAGAGTTGAACCTTTGTTTTGATACAGCACTTTGGAAACACCCTTTTGGTAGAATCTGCAGGTGGATACTTGGATACCTTTGAAGGTTTCATTGGAAAGGGGAATATCTTCACATAAAATCAAGACAGAAGCATTCTCAGAAAATTCTCTGTGATGTTTGCATTCAACTCATAGAGTGGAACACTTCCTTTCATAGAGCAGGTTTGAAACACTCTTTTTGTAATATTTGGAAGAGGACATTGGCAGCGCTTTGAGGCCTATGGTGAAAAAGGAAATATCTTCTCCTAAAAACCAGACAGAAGCATTCTCAGAAACTTCCTTGTGATGTGTGTACTCAAGTAACAGAGTTGAACATTCCTTTTGACAGAGCCATTTTGAAACACTCTTTTTGTAGAATCTGCAAGTAGATATTTGGATACCTTTGACGATTTCGTTGGAAACGGGATATCTTCATATAAAACCAAGACAGAAGCATTCTCAGAAACTACTTTGTGCTGTATGTCCTCAATTAACAGAGTTGAACCTTTGTTTGGATACAGCATTTTGGAAACATTCCTTTAGTAGAATCTGCAAGTTGATATTTAGATAGCTAGGAAGATTTCCTTGGAAACGGGAATATCTTCATATAAAATCTAGACGGAAGCATTCTAAGAAAGTGCTTTGTGACGTTTGCATTCAAGTCACAGAGTACAATATTCGCTTTTATGGAGCCGGTTTGAAACACTCTTTCTGCACTACCTGGAAGTGGACATTTGGAGCGCTTTTAGGCCTATGTTGAAAAAGGAAATATCTTCCCATAAAAACTAGACAGAAGCATTCTCAGAAACTTGTTTGTGATATGTGTATTCAACTAACAGAGATGAACCTTTCTTTTTACAGAGCAGTTTTAAAACACTCTTTTTGTGGAATCTGAAAGTGGATATTTGGATAGCTTTGAGGATATCGTTGGAAACGGTATTACATATAAAATCTAGAGAGAAGAATTCTCAGGAACTTCTTTGTGATGTTTGAATTCAAGTCGCAGAACTGAACATTCCCTTTCATAGAGCAGGTTTGAAACACTCTTTCTGTAGTATCTGCAAGCGGACGTTTCAAGCACTTTCAAGCCTATGGTAAGAAAGGAAATATCTTCAAATAATAACTAGACAGAAGCATTCTCAGAAACTTATTTGCGATGTGTGTCCTCAACTAACAGAGTTGAACTTTTGTTTTGATACAGCATTTTGGAAACACTCTTTTTGTAGGATCTGCAGGTGGATATTTAGATAGCTTTGAAGGTTTCATTGGAAACGGGAGTATCTTCATATAAAATCAACACAGAAGCATTCTCAGAAACTTCTCTGTGATGTTTGCATTCAACTCATAGAGGTGAACACTTCCTTTCATAGAGCTGTTTTGAAACACTCTTTTTGTAATATTTGGAAGTGGACATTGGCAGCGCTTTCAGGCCTATGGTGAAAAAGGAAATATCTTCTCCTAAAAACCAGACAGAAGCATTCTCAGAAACTTCCTTGTGATGTGTGTACTCAAGTAACAGAGTTGAACCTTACTTTTGAGAGAGCAGTTTTGAAACACTCTTTTTGTAGAATCTGCAAGTGGATATTTTGATAGCTTTGAAGATTTCGTTGGACACGGGATATCTTCATATAAAATCTAGACTGAAGCATTCTCAGAAACTACTTTGTGCTGTATGTCCTCAATTAACAGAGTTGAACCTTTGTTTCGATTCAGCATTTTGGAAACATTCCTTTGGTAGAATCTGCAAGTTGATAATTAGATAGCTAGGAAGATTTCCTTGGAAACGGGAATATCTTCATATAAAATCTAGACGGAAGCATTCTCAGAAACTGCTTTGTGATGTTTTCATTCAAGTCACAGAGTAGAATGTTCCCTTTTATAGAGCAGGTTTGAAACACTCTTTCTGCACTACCTGGAAGTGGACATTTGGAGCGCTTTGAGGCCTATGTTGAAAAAGGAAATATCTTCCCATAAAAACTAGACAGAAGCATTCTCAGAAACTTGTTTGTGATTTGTGTATTCAACTAACAGAGATGAACCTTTGTGTGGATACAGCATTTTGGAAACATTCCTTTACTAGAATCTGCAAGTTGATATTTAGATAGCTAGGAAGATTTCCTTGGAAACGGGAATATCTTCATATAAAATCTAGACGGATGCATTCTCAGAAAGTGCCTTGTGATGTTTGCATTCAAGTCACAGAGTAGAATATTCCCTTTTATAGAGCAGGTTTGAAGCACTCTTTCTGCACTACCTGGAAGTGGACATTTGGAGCGCTTTGAGGCCTATGTTGAAAAAGGAAATATCTTCCCATAAAAACTAGACAGAAGCATTCTAAGAAACTTGTTTGTGATGTGTGTATTCAACTAACAGAGATGAACCTTTCTTCTTACAGAGCAGTTTTAAAACACTCTTTTTGTGGAATCTGAAATTGGATATTTGGATAGGTTTGAGGATTTCCTTGGAAACGGGATTACATATAAAATCTAGGGAGAAGCATTCTCAGCAACTTCTTTGTGATGTTTGCATTGAAGTCACAGAACTGAACATTCCCTTTCATAGAGCAGGTTTGAAACACTCTTTCTGTAGTATCTGCAAGCGGACATTTCAAACGATTTCAGGCCTATGGTGAGAAAGGAAATATCTTCAAATAAAAACTAGACAAAAGCATTCTCAGAAACTTATTTGCGATGTGTGTCCTCAACGAACAGAGTTGAACCTTTGTTTTGATACAACATTTTGGAAACACTCTTTTGGTAGAATGTGCAGGTGGATATTTGGATAGGTTTGAAGGTTTCGTTGGAAACGGGAATATCTTCATATAAAATCAAGACAGAAGCACTCTCAGAAACTTCTCTGTGATGTTTGCATTCAACTCATAGAGTTGAACACTTCTCTTCATAGAGCAGGTTTGAAACACTCTTTTTGTAATATTTGGAAGTGGACATTGGCAGCGCTTTGAGGCCTATGTTGAAAAAGGAAATATCTTCTCCTAAAAACCAGATAGAAGCATTCTCAGAAACTTCCTTGTGATGTGTGTACTCAAGTAACAGAGTTGAACCTTACTTTAGACAGAGCAGTTTTGAAACAGTCTTTTGGTAGAATCTGGAAGTAGATATTTGGATACCTTGGAGGATTTCTTTGGAAACGGGATATCTTCATATAAAATCTAGACAGAAGAATTCTCAGAAACTTCTTTGTGCTGTATGTCCTCAATAAACAGAGTTGAACCTTTGTGTGGATACAGCATTTTGGAAACATTCCTTTAGTAGAATCTGCAAGTTGATATTTAGATAGCTAGGAAGATTTCCTTGGAAACGGGAATATCTTCATATAAAATGTAGACGGAAGCATTCTCAGAAAGTGCTTTGTGATGTTTTCATTCAAGTCACAGAGTAGAATGTTCCCTTTCATAGAGCAGGTTTAAAACAGTCTGTGCACTCCCTGGAAGTGGACATTTGGAGCGGTTTGAGGCCTATATTGAAAAAGGAAATATCTTCCCATAAAAACTACACAGAAGCATTCTCAGAAACTTGTTTGTGATGTGTGTATTCAACTAACAGAGATGAACCTTTCTTTTTACAGAGCATTTTTGAAACACTCTTATTGTGGTATCTGAAAGTGGATATTTCGATAGCTTTGAGGATTTCGTTGGAAACGGGATTACATATAAAATCTAGAGAGAAGCATTCTCAGGAACTTCTTTGTGATGTTTGCCTTCAAGTCACAGAACTGAACATTCCCTTTCATAGAGCAGGTTTGAAACACTCTTTCTGTAGTATCTGCAAGCGGACATTTCAAGCGCTTTCCCGCCTATGGTTGAGAAAGGAAATATCTTCAAATGAAAACTAGACCGAAGCATTCTTAGAAACTTATTTGCGATGTGTCTCCTCAACTAAGAGAGTTGAACCTTTTTTTTGATACAGCATTTTGGAAACACTCTTTTGGTAGAATCTGCAGGTGGATACTAGGATAGCTTTGAAGGTTTCGTTGGAAACGGAAATATCTTCATATAAAATCAAGACAGAAGCATTCTCAGAAACTTCTCTGTGATGTTTGCATTCAACTCATAGTGTTGAACGCTTCGTTTAATAGAGCAGGTTTGAAACACCCTTTTTGTAATATTTGGAAGTGGACATTAGCAGCGCTTCGAGACCTATGGTGAAAAAGGGAATATCTTCTCCTAAAAACCGGACGGAAGCATTCTCAGAAACTTCCTTGTGGTGTGTGTACTCAAGTAACAGAGTTGAACCTTACTTTTGACAGAGCAGTTTTGAAACAGTCTTTTTGTAGAATCTGCAAGTGGATATTTGGATAGCTTTGAGGATTTGTTTGGAAACGGGATATCTTCATATAAAATCTAGACAGAAGCATTCTCAGAAACTTCTTTGTGCTGTATGTCCTCAATTAACAGAGTTGAACCTTTGTGTCGATACAGCATTTTCGAAACATGCCTTTAGTAGAATCTGCAAATTGATATTTAGATAGCTAGGAAGATTTCCCTGGAAACGGGAATATCTTCATATAAAATCTAGACGGAAGCATTCTCAGAAACTGCTTTGTGATGTTTTCATTCAAGTCACAGGGTAGAATGTTCCCTTTTATAGAGCAGGTTTGAAACACTCTTTCTGCACTACCTGGAAGTAGACATTTGGAGCGCTTTGAGGCCTATGATGAAAATGGAAATATCTTCCCATAAAAACTAGACAGAAGCATTCTCAGAAACTTGTTTGTGATGTGTGTATTCAACTAACAGAGATGAACGTTTGTTTTTACAGAGCAGTTTTAAAACACTCTTTTTGTGGAATCTGAAATTGGATATTTGGATAGCTTTGGGGATTTCGTTGGAATCGGGACTACATATAAAATCTAGGGAGAAGCATTCTCAGGAACTTCTTTGTGATGTATGCATTCAAGTCACAGAACTGAACATTCCCTTTCATAGAGCAGGTTTCAAGCACTCTTTCTGTAGTATCTGCAAGCCGACGTTTCAAGCGCTTTCAGGCCTATGGTGAGAAAGGAAATATCTTCAAATAAAAACTAGACAGAAGCATTCTCAGAAACTTATTTGCGATGTGTGTCCTCAACTAATAGAGTTGAACCTTTGATTTGATACAGCATTTTGGAAACACTCTTTTTGTAGAATTTGCAGGTGGATACTTGGATACCTTTGAAGGTTTCGTAGGAAACGAGAATATCTTCATTATAAAATCAAGACAGAAGCATTCTCAGAAACTTCTCTGTGATGTTTGCATTCAACTCATAGATTGGAACACTTCCTTTCATAGAGCAGGTTTGAAACACTCTTTTTGTAATATTTGGAAGTGGACATTGGCAGCGCTTTCAGGCCTATGGTGAAAAAGGAAATATCTTCTCCTAAAAACCAGACAGAAGCATTCTCAGAAACTTCCTTGTGATGTGTGTACTCAAATAACAGAGTTGAACCTTACTTTTGACAGAGCAGTTTTGAAACACTCTTTTTGTAGAATCTGCAAGAGGATATTTTGATACCTTTGAGGATTTCGTTGGACACGGGATATTTTCATATAAACTCTAGACGGAAGCATTCTCAGAAACTTCTTTGTGCTGTATGTCCTCAATTAACAGAGTTGAACCTTTGTGTGGATACAGCATTTAGGAAACATTCCTTTAGTAGAATCTGCAAGTTGATATTTAGATAGCTAGGAAGATTTCCTTGGAAACGGGAACATCTTCATATAAAATCTATACGGAAGCATTCTCAGAAAGTGCTTTGTGATGTTTGCATTCAAGTCACAGAGTAGAATATTCCCTTTTATAGAGCAGGTTTCAAACACTCTTTCTGCACTACCTGGAAGTGGATATTTGGAGCGCTTTGAGGCCTATGTTGAAAAAGGAAATATCTTCCCATATAAACTAGACAGAAGCATTCTCAGAAACTTGTTTGTGATGTGTGTATTCAACTAACAGAGATGAACCTTTCTTTTTACAGAGCAGTTTTGAAACACTCTTTTTGTGGAATCTGAAAGTGGATATTTGGATAGCTTTGAGGATTTCGTTGGAAACGGGATTACATATAAAATCTAGAGAGAAGCATTCTCAGGAACTTCTTTGTGATGTTTGCATTCACGTCACAGAACTGAACATTCCCTTTCATAGAGCATGTTTGAAACACTCTTTCTGTAGTATCTGCAAGCGGACATTTCAAGCGCTTTCAGGCCTATTGTGAGAAAGGAAATATCTTCAAATAAAAACTAGACAGAAGCATTCTCAGAAACTTATTTGCGATGTGTGTCCTCAACTAACAGAGTTGATCCTTTGTTTTGATACAGCACTTTGGAAACACTCTTTTGGTAGAATCTGCAGGTGGATACTTGGATACCTTTGAAGGTTTCGTTTGAAACGGGAATATCTTCACATAAAATCAAGACAGAAGCATTCTCAGAAACTTCTCTGTGATGTTTGCATTCAACTCATAGAGTGGAACACTTCCTTTCATAGGGCAGGTATGAAACACCCTTTTTGTAATATTTGGAAGTGGACATTGGCAGCGCTTTGAGGCCTATGGTGAAAAAGGAAATATCTTCTCCTAAAAACCAGACAGAAGCATTCTCAGAAACTTCCTTGTGATGTGTGTACTCAAGTAACAGAGTTGAACCTTCCTTTTGACAGAGCAGTTTTGAAACACTCTTTCTGTAGAATCTGCAAGTGGATATTTTGATACCTTTGAGGATTTCGTTGGACACGGGATATCTTCATATAAAATCTAGACAGAAGCATTCTCAGAAACTTCTTTGTGCTGTATGTCCTCAATTAACAGATTTGAACCTTTGTTTCCATACAGCATTTTGGAAACATTCCTTTAGTAGAATCTGCAAGTTGATATTTAGATTGCTAGGAAGATTTCCTTGGAAACGGGAATATCTTCATATAAAATCTAGACGGAAGCATTCTCAGAAACTGCTTTGTGATGTTTTCATTCAAGTCACAGAGTAGAATGTTCCCTTTTATAGAGCAGGTTTCAAACACTCTTTCTGCACTACCTGGAAGTGGACATTTGGAGCGCTTTGAGGCCTATGTTGAAAAAGGAAATATCTTCCCATATAAACTAGACAGAAGCATTCTCAGAAACTTGTTTGTGATGTGTGTATTCAACTAACAGAGATGAACCTTTCTTTTTACAGAGCAGTTTTTAAACACTCTTTTTGTGGAATCTGAAAGTGGATATTTGGATAGCTTTGAGGATTTCGTTGGAAACGGGATTACATATAAAATCTAGAGAGAAGCATTCTCAGGAACTTCTTTGTGATGTTTGCATTCACGTCACAGAACTGAACTTTCCTTTTCATAGAGCATGTTTGAAACACTCTTTCTATACTACCTCCAAGCGGACATTTCAAGCGCTTTCAGGCCTATGGTGAGAAAGGAAATATCTTCAAATAAAAACTAGACAGAAGCATTCTCAGATACTTATTTGCGATGTGTGTCCTCAACTAACAGAGTTGAACCTTTTTTTTGATACAGCACTTTGGAAACACTCTTTTGGTAGAATCTGCAGGTGGATACTTGGATAGATTTGAAGGTTTCGTTGGAAACGGGAATATCTTCACATAAAATCAAGACAGAAGCATTCTCAGAAACTTCTCTGTGATGTTTGCATTCAATTCATAGTGTTGAACGCTTCCTTTCATAGAGCAGGTTTGAAACACTCTTTTTGTAATATTTGGAAGTGGACATTGGCAGCACTTTGAGGCCTATGGTGAAAAAGGAAATATCTTCTCCTACAAACCAGACAGAAGTATTCTCAGAAACTTCCTTGTGATGTGTGTACTCAAGTAACAGAGTTGAACCTTCCTTTTGACAGAGCCATTCTGAAACACTCTTTTTGTAGAATCTGCAAGTAGATATTTGGATACCTTTGACGATTTCGTTGGAAACGGGATATCTTCATATAAAATCAAGACAGAAGCATTCTCAGAAACTACTTTGTGCTGTATGTCCTCAATTAACAGAGTTGAACCTTTGTGTGGATACAGCATTTTGGAAACTTTCCTTTAGTAGAATCTGCAAGTTGATATTTAGATAGCTAGGAAGATTTCCTTTGAAACGGGAATATCTTCATATAAAATCTAGACGGAAGCATTCTAAGAAAGTGCTTTGTGATGTTTGCATTCAAGTCACAGAGTACAATATTCGCTTTTATGGAGCCGGTTTGAAACACTCTTTCTGCACTACCTGGAAGTGGACATTTGGAGCGCTTTGAGGGCTATGTTGAAAATGGAAATATCTTCCCATAAAAACTAGACAGAAGCATTCTCAGAAACTTGTTTGTGATATGTGTATTCAACTAACAGCGATGAACCTTTCTTTTTACAGAGCAGTTTTGAAACACTCTTTTTGTGGAATCTGAAAGTGGATATTTGGATAGCTTTGAGGATTTCGTTGGAAACGGGATTACATATAAAATCTAGAGAGAAGCATTCTCAGGAACTCTTTTGTGATGTTTGCATTCAAGTCACAGAACTGAACATTCCCTTTCATAGAGCATGTTTGAAACACTCTTTCTGTAGTATCTGCAAACGGACGTTTCAAGCGCTTTCAGGCCTATGGTGAGAAAGGAAATATCTTCAAATAAAAACTAGACAGAAGCATTCTCAGAAACTTATTTGCGATGTGTGTCCTCAACTAACAGAGTTGAACCTTTGTTTTGATACAACATTTTGGAACCACTCTTTTTGTAGAATCTGCAAGTGGATATTTGGATAGCTTTGAAGGTTTCGTTGGAAACGGGAATATCTTCATATAAAATCAAGACAGAAGCATTCTCAGAAACTTCTCTGTGATGTTTGCATTCAACTCATAGTGTTGAACACTTCCCTTCATAGAGCAGGTTTGAAACACTCTTTTTGTAATATTTGGAAGTGGACATTTGCAGCGCTTTGAGGCCTATGTTGAAAAAGGAAATATCTTCTCCTAAAAACCAGACAGAGGCATTCTCAGAAACTTCCTTGTGATGTGTATACTCAAGTAACAGAGTTGAACCTTACTTTTGACAGAGCAGTTTTGAAAAACTCTTTTTGTAGAATCTGGAAGTAGATATTTGGATACCTTTGAGGATTTCTTTGGAAACGGGATATCTTCATATAAAATCTAGACAGAAGCATTCTCAGAAACTTCTTTGTGCTGTATGTCCTCAATTAACAGCGTTGAACCTTTGTGTGGATACAGCATTTTCGAAACATTCCTTTAGTAGAATCTGCAAGTTGATATTTAGATAGCTAGGAAGATTTCCTTGGAAACGGGAATATCTTCATATAAAATCTAGACGGAAGCATTCTGAGAAACTGCTTTGTGATGTCTTCATTCAAGTCACAGAGTAGAATGTTCCCTTTTATAGAGCAGGTTTGAAACACTCTGTGCACTACCTGGAAGTGGACATTTGGAACGCTTTGAGGCCTATGTTGAAAAAGGAAATATCTTCCCATAAAAACTAGACAGAAGCATTCTCAGAAACTTATTTGTGATGTGTATATTCAACTAACAGAGATGAACCTTTGTTTTTACAGAGCAGTTTTGAAACACTCTTTTTGTGGAATCTGAAAGTGGATATTTGGATAGCTTTGAGGATTTCGTTGGAAACGGGATTACATATAAAATCTAGGGAGAAGCAATCTCAGGAACTTCTTTGTGAAGTTTGCATTCAAGTCACAGAACTGAACATTCCCTTTCATAGAGCAGGTTTGAAACACTCTTTCTGCAGTATCTGCAAGCGGACGTTTCAAGCGCCTTCAGGACTGTGGTGAAAAAGGAAATATCTTCAAATAAAAACTAGACAGAAGCATTCTCAGAAACTTATTTGCGATGTGTGTTCTCAACTAACAGAGTTGAACAATTGTTTTGATACAGCATTTTGGAAACACTCTTTTTGTAGGATCTGCAGATGGATATTTGGATAGCTTTGAAGGTTTCGTTGGAAACGGGAATAAATTCATATAAAATCAAGACGGAAGCATTCTCAGAAACTTCTCTGTGATGTTTGCATTCAACTCATAGAGTTGAACACTTCCTTTCATAGAGCCGGTTTGAAACACTCTGTGCACTACCTGGAAGTGGACATTTGGAGCGCTTTGAGGCCTATGTTGAAAAAGGAAATATCTTCCCATAAAAACTAGACTGAAGCATTCTCAGAAACTTGTTTGTGATGTGTGTATTCAACTAACAGAGATGAACCTTTCTTTTTACAGAGCAGTTTTGAAACACTCTTTTTGTGGAATCTGAAAGTGGATATTTGGATAGCTTTGAGGATTTCGTTGGAAACGGGATTACATATAAAATCTAGGGAGAAGCATTCTCAGGAAATTCTTTGTGATGTTTGCATTCAAGTCACAGAACTGAACATTCCCTTTCATAGAGCAGCTTTGAAACACTCTTTCTGTAGTATCTGCAAGCGGACGTTTCAAGTGCTTTCAGGCCTGTGGTGAAAAAGGAAATATCTTAAAATAAAAACTAGACAGAAGCATTCTCAGAAACTTATTTGTGATGTGTGTTCTCAAATAACAGAGTTGAACCTTTGTTTTGATACAGCATTTTGGAAACACTCTTTTTGTAGGATCTGCAGGTGGATATTTGGATAGCTTTGAAGGTTTCGTTGGAAACGGGAATAACTTCATATAAAATCAAGACAGAAGCATTCTCAGAAACTTCTCTGTGATGTTTGCATTCAACTCATAGAGTTGAACACTTCCTTTCATAGAGCTGGTTTGAAATACTCTTTTTGTAATATTTGGAAGTGGACATTGGCAGCGCTTTGAAGCTTATGGTGAAAAACGAGATATCTTCTCCTAAGAACCAGACAGAAGCATTCTCAGAATCTTTCTTGTGATGTATGTACTCAAGTAACAGAGTTGAACCTTCGTTTTGACAGAGCAGTTTTGAAGTACTCTTTTTGTAGAATCTGCAAGTGGATATTTTGATACCTTTGAGGATTTCGTTGGACACGGGATATCTTCATATAAAATCTAGACAGAAGCATTCTCAGAAACCTCTTTGTGCTGTATGTCCTCAATTAACAGAGTTGAACCTTTGTGTGGATACAGCATTTTGGAAACACTCCTTTAGTAGAATCTGCAAGTTGATACTTAGATAGGAAGATTTCCTTGGAAACGGGAATATCTTCATATAAAATCTAGACGGAAGCATTCTCAGAAACTGCTTTGAGATGTTTTCATTCATGTCACAGAGTAGAATGTTCCCTTTTGTAGAGCAGGTTTGAAACACTCTGTGCACTACGTGGAAGTGGACATTTGGAGCGCTTTGAGGCCTATGCTGAAAAAGGAAATATCTTTCCATAAAAACTAGACAGAAGCATTCTCAGAAACTTGTTTGTGATGTGTGTATTCAAATAACAGAGATGAACCTTTCTTTTTACAGAGCAGTTTTGAAACACTCTTTTTCTGGAATCTGAAAGTGGATATTTGGATAGCTTTGAGGATTTCGTTGGAAACGGGATTACATATAAAACCTAGAGAGAAGCATTCTCAGGAACTTCTTTGTGATGTTTGCATTCAAGTCACAGAACTGAACATTCCCTTTCATAGAGCAGGTTTGAAACACTCTTTCTGTAGTATCTGCAAGCTGACGTTTCAAGCGCTTTCAGGCCTATGGTGAGAAAGGAAATATCTTCAAGTAAAAACTAGACAGAAGCATTCTCAGAAACTTATTAGCCATGAGTGTTCTCAACTAACAGAGTTGAACCTTTGTTTTGATACGGCATTTTGGAAACACTCTTTTTGTAGAATGTGCAGGTGGATATTCGGATATCTTTGAAGGTTTCGTTGGAAACGGGAATATCTTCATATAAAATCTAGACGGAAGCATTCCCAGAAACTGCTTTGTGATGTTTTCATTCAAGTCACAGAGTAGAATGTTCCCTGTTATATACCAGGTTTGAGACACTCTTTCTGCACTACCTGGAAGTGGACATTTGGAGCGCTTTGAGGCCTATGTTGAAAAAGGATATATCTTCCCATAAAAACTAGACAGAAGCATTCTCAGAAACTTGTTTGTGATGTGTGTATTCAACTAACAGAGATGAACCTTTCTTTTTACAGAGCAGTTTTGAAACACTCTTTTTGTGGAATCTGAAAGTGGATATTTGGATAGCTTTGAGGATTTCGTTGGAAACGGGATTACATATAAAATCTAGGGAGAAGCATTCTCAGGAACTTCTTTGTGATGTTTGCATTCAAGTCACAGAACTGAACATTCCCTTTCATAGAGCCGGTTTGAAACACTCTTTCTGTAGTATCTGCAACCGGACGTTTCAAGCGCTTTCAGGCCTGCGGTGAAAAAGGAAATATCTTCAAATAAAAACTAGACAGAAGCATTCTCAGAAACTTATTTGCGATGTGTGTTCTCAACTAACAGAGTTGAACCTTTGTTTTGATACAGCATTTTGGAAACACTCTTTTTGTAGGATCTGCAGGTGGATATTTGGATAGCTTTGAAGGTTTCGTTGGAAACGGGAATATCTTCATATAAAATCAAGACAGAAGCATTCTCAGAAACTTCTCTGTGATGGTTGCATTCAACTCATAGAGTTGAACACTTCCCTTCATACAGCAGGTTTGAAACACTCTTTTTGTAATATTTGGAAGTGGACATTTGCAGCGCTTTGAGGCCTATGTTGAAAAAGGAAATATCTTGTCCTAAAAACCAGACAGAAGCATTCTCAGAAACTTCCTTGTGATGTGTGTACTCATGTGACAGAGTTGAACCTTACTTTTGACAGAGCCGTATTGAAACAGTCTTTTTGTAGAATCTGGAAGTAGATATTTGGATACCTTTGAGGATTTCTTTGGAAACTGGATATCTTCGTATAAAATCTAGACAGAAGCATTCTCAGACACTTCTTTGTGCTGTATGTCCTCAATTAACAGAGTTGAACCTTTGTGTGGATACAGCATTTTGGAAACATTCCTTTAGTAGAATCTGCAAGTTGATATTTAGATAGCTAGGAAGATTTCCTTTGAAACGGGAATATCTTCATATAAAATCTAGACGGAAGCATTCTGAGAAACTGCTTTGTGATGTCTTCATTCAAGTCACAGAGTAGAATGTTCCCTTTTATAGAGCAGGTTTGAAACACTCTGTGCACTACCTGGAAGTGGACATTTGGAGCGCTTTGACGCCTATGTTGAAAAAGGAATTATCTTCCCATAGAAACTAGACAGAAGCATTCTCACAAACTTATTTGTGATGTGTATATTCAACTAACAGAGATGACCCATTCTTTTTACAGAGCAGGTTTGAAACACTCTTTTTGTGGAATCTGAAAGTGGATATTTGGATAGCTTTGAGGATTTCGTTGCAAACGGGATTACATATAAAATCTAGGGAGAAGCATTCTCAGGAACTTCTTTGTGATGTTTGCATTCAAGTCACAGAACTGAACATTCCCTTTCATAGAGCAGGTTTGAAACACTCTTTCTGTAGTATCTGCAAGTGGACGTTTCAAGCGATTTCAGGCATGTGGTGAAAAAGGAAATATCTTCAAATAAGAACTAGACAGAAGCATTCTCAGAAACTTATTTGCGGTGTGTATTCTCAACTAACAGAGTTGAACCTTTGTTTTGATACAGCATTTTGGAAACACTCTTTTTGTAGGATCTGCAGGTGGATATTTGGATAGCTTTGAAGGTTTCGTTGGAAACGGGAATATCTTCATATAAAATCAACACAGAAGCATTCTCAGAAACTTCTCTGTGATGTTTGCATTCAACTCATAGAGTTGAACACTTCCCTTCATACAGCAGGTTTGAAACACTCTTTTTGTAATATTTGGAAGTGGACATTTGCAGCGCTTTGAGGCCGATGTTGAAAAAGGAAATATCTTCTCCTAAAAACCAGACAGAAGCATTCTCAGAAACTTCCTTGTGATGTGTGTACTCAAGTAACAGAGTTGAACCTTACTTTTGACAGAGCCGTTTTGAAACAGTCTTTTTGTAGAATCTGCAAGTAGATATTTGGATACCTTTGAGGATTTCTTTGGAAACGGGATATCTTCGTATAAAATCTAGACAGAAGCATTCTCAGAAACTTCTTTGTGCTGTATGTCCTCAATTAACAGAGTTGAACCTTTGTGTGGATACAGCATTTTGGAAACATTCCTTTAGTAGAATCTGCAAGTTGATATTTAGATAGCTAGGAAGATTTCCTTGGAAACGGGAATATCTTCATATAAAATCTAGACGGAAGCATTCTCAGAAACTGCTTTGTGATGTCTTCATTCAAGTCACAGAGTAGAATGTTCCCTTTTATAGAGCAGGTTTGAAACACTCTGTGCACTACCTGGAAGTGGACATTGGGAGCGCTTTGACGCCTATGTTGAAAAAGGAAATATCTTCCCATAGAAACTAGACAGAAGCATTCTCAGAAACTTATTTGTGATGTGTATATTCAACTAACAGAGATGAACCATTCTTTTTATAGAGCAGGTTTGAAACACTCTTTTTGTGGAATCTGAAAGTGGATAATTGGATAGCTTTGAGGATTTCGTTGGAAACGGGATTACATATAAAATCTAGGGAGAAGCATTCTCAGGAACTTCTTTGTGATGTTTGCATTCAAGTCACAGAACTGAACATTCCCTTTCATAGAGCAGGTTTGAAACACTCTTTCTGCACTACCTGGAGGTGGACATTTGGAGCGCTTTGAGTCCTATGTTGAAAAAGGAAATATCTTCCCATAAAAACTAGACAGAAGCATTCTCAGAAACTTATTTGCGATGTGTGTTCTCAACTAACAGAGTTGAACAATTGTTTTGATACAGCATTTTGGAAACACACTTTTTGTAGGATCTGCAGGTGGATATTTGGATATCTTTGAAAGTTTCGTTGGAAACGGGAATATCTTCATATAAAATAAAGACAGAAGCATTCTCAGAAACTTCTCTGTAATGTTTGCATTCAACTCATAGAGTTGAACACGTCCTTTCATAGAGCCGGTTTGAAACACTCTGTGCACTACCTGGAAGTGGACATTTGGAGCGCTTTGAGGCCTATGTTGAAAAAGGAAATATCTTCCCATAAAAACTAGACAGAAGCATTCTCAGAAACTTGTTTGTGATGTGTGTATTCAACTAACAGAAATGAACCTTTCTTTTTACAGAGCAGTTTTGAAACACTCTTTTTGTGGAATCTGAAAGTGGATATTTGGATAGCTTTCAGGATTTCGTTGGAAACGGGATTACATATAAAATCTAGGGAGAAGCATTCTCAGGAACTTCTTTGTGATGTTTGCATTCAAGTCACAGAACTGAACATTCCCTTTCATAGAGCAGGTTTGAAACACTCTTTCTGTAGTATCTGCAAGCGGACGTTTCAAGCGCTTTCAGGCATGTGGTGAAAAAGGAAATATCTTCAAATAAGAACTAGACAGAAGCATTCTCAGAAACTTATTTGCGATGTGTGTTCTCAACTAACAGAGTTGAACCTTTGTTTTGATACAGCATTTTGGAAACACTCTTTTTGTAGGATCTGCAGGTGGATATTTGGATAGGTTTGAAGGTTTCGTTGGAAACGGAAATATCTTCATATAAAATCAAGACAGAAGCATTCTCAGAAACTTCTCTGTGATGTTTGCATTCAACTCATAGAGTTGAACACTTCCTTTCATAGAGCTGGTTTGAAATACTCTTTTTGTAATATTTGGAAGTGGACATTGGCAGCGCTTTGAAGCTTATGGTGAAAAAGGAGATATCTTCTCCTAAAAACCAGACAGAAGCATTCTCAGAATCTTTCTTGTGATGTATGTACTCAAGTAACAGAGTTGAACCTTCCTTTTGATTGAGCAGTTTTGAAGCACTCTTTTTGTAGAATCTGCAAGTGGATATTTTGATACCATTGAGGATTTCGTTGGACACGGGATATCTTCATATAAAATCTAGACAGAAGCATTCTCAGAAACTTCTTTGTGCTGTATGTCCTCAATTAACGGAGTTGAACCTTTGTGTGGATACAGCATTTTGGAAACATTCCTTTAGTAGAATCTGCAAGTTGATACTTAGATAGGAAGATTTCCTTGGAAACGGGAATATCTTCATATAAAATCTAGACGGAAGCATTCTCAGAAACTGCTTTGAGATGTTTTCATTCATGTCACAGAGTAGAATGTTCCCTTTTATAGAACAGGTTTGAAACACTCTGTGCACTACATGGAAGTGGACATTTGGAGCGCTTTGAGGCCTATGCTGAAAAAGGAAATATCTTCCCATAAAAACTAGACAGAAGCATTCTCAGAAACTTGTTTGTGATGCGTGTATTCAACTAACAGAGATGAATCTTTCTTTTCACAGCAGTTTTGAAACACTCTTTTTGTGGAATCTGAAAGTGGATATTTGGATAGCTTTGAGGATTTCGTTGGAAACGGGATTACATATAAAATCTAGAGAGAAGCATTCTCAGGAACTTCTTTGTGATGCTTGCATTCAAGTCACAGAACTGAACATTCCCTTTCATAGAGCATGTTTGAAACACTCTTTCTGTAGTATCTGCAAACGGACATTTCAAGCACTTTCAGGCCTACGGTGAGAAAGGAAATATCTTCAAATAGAAACTAGACAGAAGCATTCTCAGAAACTTATTTGCGATGTGTGTCCTCAACTAACAGAGTTGAACCTTTGTTTTGATACAACATTTTGGAAACACTCTTTTTGTAGAATCTGCAAGTGGATATTTGGATAGATTTGAAGGTTTCGTTGGAAACGGGAATATCTTCATATAAAATCAAGACAGAAGCATTCTCAGAAACTTCTCTGTGATGTTTGCATTCAACTCATAGAGGTGAACACTTCCCTTCACAGAGCAGGTTTGAAACACTCTTTTTGTAATATTTGGAAGTGGACATTTGCAGCGCTTTGAGGCCTCTCTTAAAAAAGGAAATATCTTCCCATAAAAACTAGACAGAAGCATTCTCAGA
Organism: Homo sapiens; assembly: GCF_000001405.40. NCBI lineage: Eukaryota > Metazoa > Chordata > Mammalia > Primates > Hominidae > Homo > Homo sapiens. The sequence continues at coordinate 117,969 of NT_187502.1, forward strand.
AACTTGTTTGTGATGTGTGTATTCAACTAAGAGAGATGAACCTTTCTTTTTACAGAGCAGTTTTGAAACACTCTTTTTGTGGAATCTGAAAGTGGATATTTGGATAAATTTGATTATTTCGTTGGAAACGGGATTACATATAAAATCTAGGGAGAAGCATTCTCAGGAACTTCTTTGTGATGTTTGCATTCAAGTCACAGAACTGAACATTCCCTTTCATAGTGCAGGTTTGAAACACTCTTTCTGTAGTATCTGCAAACGGACATTTCAAACGCTTTCAGGCCTATGGTGAGAAAGGAAATATCTTCAAATAAAAACTAGACAGAAGCATTCTCAGAAACTTATTTGCGATGTGTGTCCTCAACTAACAGAGTTGAACCTTTCTTTTGATACAACATTTTGGAAACACTCTTTTTGTAGAATCTGCAAGTGGATATTTGGATAGCTTTGAAGGTTTCGTTGGAAACGGTAATATCTTCATATAAAATCAAGACAGAAGCATTCTCAGAAACTTCCTTGTGATGTGTGTACTCAAGTAACAGAGTTGAACCTTACTTTTGACAGAGCCGTTTTGAAACAGTCTTTTTGTAGCATCTGGAAGTAGATATTTGGATACCTTTGAGGATTTCTTTGGAAACGGGATATCTGCATATAAAATCTAGAGAGAAGCATTCTCAGAAACTTCTTTGTGCTGTATGTCTTCAATTAACAGAGTTGAACCTTTGTGTGCATACAGCATTTTAGAAACACTCCTTTAGTAGAATCTGCAAGTTGATATTTAGATAGCTAGGAAGATTTCCTTGGAAACGGGAATATCTTCACATAAAATCTAGACGGAAGCATTCTCAGAAACTGCTTTGTGATGTCTTCATTCAAGTCACAGAGTAGAATTTTCCCTTTTATAGAGCAGGTTTGAAACACTCAGTGCACTACCTGAAAGTGGACATTTGGAGCGCTTTGAGGCCTATGTTGAAAAAGGAAGTATCTTCCCATAGAAACTAGACAGAAGCATTTTCAGAAACTTGTTTGTGATGTGTGTATTCAACTAACAGAGATGAACCTTTCTTTTTACAGAGCAGTTTTGAAACACTCTTTTTGTGGAATCTGAAAGTGGATATTTGGACAGCTTTGAGGATACCGTTGGAAACGGGATTACATATAAAATCTAGGGAGAAGCATTCTCAGGAAATTCTTTGTGATGTTTGCATTCAAGTCACAGAACTGAACATTCCCTTTCATACAGCAGGTTTGAAACACTCTTTCTGTAGTATCTGCAAGCGGACGTTTCAAGCGCTTTCAGGCCTGTGGTGAAAAAGGAAATATCTTCAAATAAAAACTAGACAGAAGCATTCTCAGAAACTTATTTGCGATGTGTGTTCTCAACTAACAGAGTTGAACCTTTGTTTTGATACAGCATTTTGGAAACACTCTTTTTGTAGGATCTGCAGGTGGATATTTGGATAGCTCTGAAGGTTTCGTTGGAAACGGGAATATCCTCATATAAAATCAAGACAGAAGCATTCTCAGAAACTTCTCTGTGATGTTTGCCTTCAACTCATAGAGTTGAACACTTCCTTTCATAGAGCAGGTTTGAAACACTCTATGCACTACCTGGAAGTGGACATTTGGAGCGCTTTGAGGCCTATGTTGAAAAAGGAAATATCTTCCCATCAAAACTAGACAGAAGCATTCTCAGAAACTTGTTTGTGATGTGTGTATTCAACTAACAGAGATGAACCTTTCTTTTTACAGAGCAGTTTTGAAACACTCTTTTTGTGGAATCTGAAAGTGGATATTTGGATAGCTTTGAGGATTTCGTTGGAAACGGGATTACATATAAAATCTAGGGAGAAGCATTCTCAGGAACTTCTTTGTGATGTTTGCATTCAAGTCACAGAACTGAACATTCCCTCTCATAGAACAGGTTTGAAACACTCTTTCTGTAGTATCTGCAAGTGGACGTTTCAAGCGCTATCAGGCCTGTGGTGAAAAAGGAAATATCTTCAAATAAAAACTAGACAGAAGCATTCTCAGAAACTTATTTGCGATGTGTGTTCTCAACTAACAGAGTTGAACCTTTTTTTTTTACAGCATTATGGAAACACTCTTTTTGTAGAATCTGCAGGTGGATATTTGGATAGGTTTGAAGGTTTCGTTGGAAACGGGAATATCTTCATATAAAATCAACACAGAAGCATTCTCAGAAACTTTTCTGTGACGTTTGCATTCAACTCATAGAGTTGAACAATTCCTTTCATAGAGCTGGTTTGAAATACTCTTTTTGTAATATTTGGAAGTGGACATTGGCAGCGCTTTGAAGCCTATGGTGAAAAAGGAGATATCGTCTCCTAAAAACCAGACAGAAGCATTCTCAGAATCTTTCTTCTGATGTGTGTACTCAAGTAACAGAGTTGAACCTTCATTTTGACAGAGCAGTTTGAAGCACTCTTTTTGTAGAATCTGCGAGTGGATACTTTGATACCTTTGAGGATTTCGTTGGACACGGGATATCTTCATATAAAATCTAGACAGAAGCATTCTCAGAAACTTCTTTGTGCTGTATGTCCTCAATTAACAGAGTTGAACCTTTGTGTGGATACAGCATTTTGGAAACATTCCTTTAGTAGAATCTGCAAGTTGATATTTAGATAGCTAGGAAGATTTCCTTGGAAACGGGAATATCTTCACATAAAATATAGACGGAAGCATTCTCAGAAACTGCTTTGTGATGTCTTCATTCAAGTCACAGAGTAGAATGTTCCCTTTTATAGAGCAGGTTTGAAACACTCAGTGCACTACCTGGAAGTGGACATTTGGAGCGCTTTGGGGCCTATGTTGAAAAAGGAAGTATCTTCCCATAGAAACTAGACAGAAGCATTCTCAGCAACTTGTTTGTGATGTGTGTATTCAACTAACAGAGATGAACCTTTCCTTTTACAGAGCAGTTTTGAAACACTCTTTTTGTGGAATCTGAAAGTGGATATTTGGATAGCTTTGAGGATTTCGTTGGAAACGGGATTACATATAAAATCTAGGGAGAAGCATTCTCAGGAACTTCTTTTTGATGTTTGCATTCAAGTCACAGAACTGAACATTCCCTTTCATAGAGCAGGTTTGAAACACTCTTTCTGTAGTATCTGCAAGCGGACGTTTCAAGCACTTTCAGGCCTGTGGTGAAAAAGGAAATATCTTCAAATAAAAACTAGACAGAAGCATTCTCAGAAACTTATTTGCGATGTGTGATCTCAATTAACAGAGTTGAACCTTTGTTTTGATACAGCATTTTGGAAACACTCTTTTGTAGGATTTGCAGGTGGATATTTGGATAGCTTTGATGGTTTCGTTGGAAACGGGAATATCCTCATATAAAATCAAGACAGAAGCATTCTCAGAAATTTCTCTGTGATGTTTGCCTTCAACTCATAGAGTTGAACACTTCCTATCATAGAGCAGGTTTGAAACACTCTGTGCACTACCTGGAAGTGGACATTTGGAGCACTTTGAGGCCTATGATGAAAAAGGAAATATCTTCCCATAAAAACTAGACAGAAGCATTCTCAGAAACTTGTTTGTGATGTGTGTATTCAACTAACAGAGATGAACCTTTCTTTTTACAGAGCAGTTTTGAAACACTCTTTTTGTGGAATCTGAAAGTGGATATTTGGATAGCTTTGAGGATTTCATTGAAAACGGGATTACATATAAAATCTAGAGAGAAGCATTCTCAGGAACATCTTTGTGATGTTTGCATTCACGTCACAGAACTGAACATTCCCTTTCATAGAGCATGTTTGAAAAACTCTTTCTGTAGTATCTGCAAACGGACATTTCAAACACTTTCAGGCCTATGGTGAGAAAGGAAATATATTCAAATAAAAACTAGACAGAAGCATTCTCAGAAACTTATTTGCGATGTGTGTCCTCAACTAACAGAGTTGAACCTTTCTTTTGATACAACATTTTGGAAACACTCTTTTTGTAGAATCTGCAAGTGGATATTTGGATAGCTTTGAAGGTTTCGTTGGAAACGGGAATATCTTCATATAAAATCAAGACAGAAGCATTCTCAGAAAATTCTCTGTGATGTTTGCATTCAACTCATAGGGGTGAACACTTCCCTTCATAGAGCAGGTTTGAAACACTCTTTTTGTAATATTTAGAAGTGGACATTTGCAGCGCTTTGAGGCCTATGTTGAAAAAGGAAATATCTTCTCCTAAAAACCAGACAGAAGCATTCTCAGAAACTTCCTTGTGATGTGTGTACTCAAGTAACAGAGTTGAACCTTACTTTTGACAGAGCAGTTTTGAAACAGTCTTTTTGTAGAATCTGGAAGTAGATATTTGGATACCTTTGAGGATTTCTTTGGAAACGGGATATCTTCATATAAAATCTAGACGGAAGCATTCTCAGACACTTCTTTGTGCTGTATGTCCTCAACTAACAGAGTTGAACCTTTGTGTGGATACAGCATTTTGGAAACATTCCTTTAGTAGAATCTGCAAGTTGATATTTAGATAGCTAGGAAGATTTCCTTGGAAACGGGAATATCTTCACATAAAATCTAGACGGAAGCATTCTCAGAAACTGCTTTGTGATGTCTTCATTCAAGTCACAGAGTAGAATGTTCCCTTTTATAGAGCAGGTTTGAAACACTCAGTGCACTACCTGGAAGTGGACATTTGCAGCGCTTTGAGGCCTATGTTGAAAAAGGAAGTATCTTCCCATAGAAACTAGACAGAAGCATTCTCAGAAACTTGTTTGTGATGTGTGTATTCAACTAACAGAGATGAACCTTTCTTTTTACAGAGCAGTTTTGAAACACTCTTTTTGTAGAATCTGAAAGTGGATATTTGGATAGCTTTGAGGATTTCGTTGGAAACGGGATTACATATAAAAGCTAGGGAGAAGCATTCTCAGGAACTTCTTTCTGATGTTTGCATTCAAGTCACAGAACTGAACATTCCCTTTCATAGAGCAGGTTTGAAACACTCTTTCTGTAGTATCTGCAAACGGACGTTTCAAGCGCTTTCAGGCCTGTGGTGAGAAAGGAAATATCTTCAAATAAAAACTAGACAGAAGCATTCTCAGAAACTTGTTTGTGATGTGTGTATTCAACTAACAGAGATGAACCTTTCTTTTTACAGAGCAGTTTTGAAACACTCTTTTTGTGGAATCTGAAAGTGGATATTTGGATAGCTTTGAGGATTTCGTTGGAAACGGGATTACATATAAAATCTAGAGAGAAGCATTCTCAGGAACTTCTTTGTGATGTTTGCATTCAAGTCACAGAACTGAACATTCCCTTTCATAGAGCATGTTTGATACACTCTTTCTGTAGTATCTGCAAGCTGACGTTTCAAGCGCTTTCAGGCCTATGGTGAGAAAGGAAATATCTTCAAGTAAAAACTAGACAGAAACATTCTCAGAAACTTATTTGCCATGTGTGTTCTCAACTAACAGAGTTGAACCTTTGTTTTGATACGGCATTTTGGAAACACTCTTTTTGTAGAATCTGCAGGTGGATATTCGGATAGCTTTGAAGGTTTCGTTGGAAACGGGAATATCTTCATATGAAATCTAGACGGAAGCATTCTCAGAAACTGCTTTGTGATGTTTTCATTGAAGTCACAGAGTAGAATGTTCCCTTTTATATACCAGGTTTGAGACACTCTTTCTGCACTACCTGGAAGTGGACATTTGGAGCGCTTTGAGGCCTATGATGAAAAAGGAAATATCTTCCCATAAAAACTAGACAGAAGCATTCTCAGAAACTTGTTTGTGATGTGTGTATTCAACTAACAGAGATGAACCTTTCTTTTTACAGAGCAGTTTTGAAACACTCTTTTTGTGGAATCTGAAAGTGGATATTTGGATAGCTTTGAGGATTTCATTGAAAACGGGATTACATATAAAATCTAGAGAGAAGCATTCTCAGGAACATCTTTGTGATGTTTGCATTCACGTCACAGAACTGAACATTCCCTTTCATAGAGCATGTTTGAAAAACTCTTTCTGTAGTATCTGCAAACGGACATTTCAAACACTTTCAGGCCTATGGTGAGAAAGGAAATATATTCAAATAAAAACTAGACAGAAGCATTCTCAGAAACTTATTTGCGATGTGTGTCCTCAACTAACAGAGTTGAACCTTTCTTTTGATACAACATTTTGGAAACACTCTTTTTGTAGAATCTGCAAGTGGATATTTGGATAGCTTTGAAGGTTTCGTTGGAAACGGGAATATCTTCATATAAAATCAAGACAGAAGCATTCTCAGAAAATTCTCTGTGATGTTTGCATTCAACTCATAGGGGTGAACACTTCCCTTCATAGAGCAGGTTTGAAACACTCTTTTTGTAATATTTAGAAGTGGACATTTGCAGCGCTTTGAGGCCTATGTTGAAAAAGGAAATATCTTCTCCTAAAAACCAGACAGAAGCATTCTCAGAAACTTCCTTGTGATGTGTGTACTCAAGTAACAGAGTTGAACCTTACTTTTGACAGAGCAGTTTTGAAACAGTCTTTTTGTAGAATCTGGAAGTAGATATTTGGATACCTTTGAGGATTTCTTTGGAAACGGGATATCTTCATATAAAATCTAGACGGAAGCATTCTCAGACACTTCTTTGTGCTGTATGTCCTCAACTAACAGAGTTGAACCTTTGTGTGGATACAGCATTTTGGAAACATTCCTTTAGTAGAATCTGCAAGTTGATATTTAGATAGCTAGGAAGATTTCCTTGGAAACGGGAATATCTTCACATAAAATCTAGACGGAAGCATTCTCAGAAACTGCTTTGTGATGTCTTCATTCAAGTCACAGAGTAGAATGTTCCCTTTTATAGAGCAGGTTTGAAACACTCAGTGCACTACCTGGAAGTGGACATTTGCAGCGCTTTGAGGCCTATGTTGAAAAAGGAAGTATCTTCCCATAGAAACTAGACAGAAGCATTCTCAGAAACTTGTTTGTGATGTCTGTATTCAACTAACAGAGATGAACCTTTCTTTTTACAGAGCAGTTTTGAAACACTCTTTTTGTAGAATCTGAAAGTGGATATTTGGATAGCTTTGAGGATTTCGTTGGAAACGGGATTACATATAAAAGCTAGGGAGAAGCATTCTCAGGAACTTCTTTCTGATGTTTGCATTCAAGTCACAGAACTGAACATTCCCTTTCATAGAGCAGGTTTGAAACACTCTTTCTGTAGTATCTGCAAACGGACGTTTCAAGCGCTTTCAGGCCTGTGGTGAGAAAGGAAATATCTTCAAATAAAAACTAGACAGAAGCATTCTCAGAAACTTGTTTGTGATGTGTGTATTCAACTAACAGAGATGAACCTTTCTTTTTACAGAGCAGTTTTGAAACACTCTTTTTGTGGAATCTGAAAGTGGATATTTGGATAGCTTTGAGGATTTCGTTGGAAACGGGATTACATATAAAATCTAGAGAGAAGCATTCTCAGGAACTTCTTTGTGATGTTTGCATTCAAGTCACAGAACTGAACATTCCCTTTCATAGAGCATGTTTGATACACTCTTTCTGTAGTATCTGCAAGCTGACGTTTCAAGCGCTTTCAGGCCTATGGTGAGAAAGGAAATATCTTCAAGTAAAAACTAGACAGAAACATTCTCAGAAACTTATTTGCCATGTGTGTTCTCAACTAACAGAGTTGAACCTTTGTTTTGATACGGCATTTTGGAAACACTCTTTTTGTAGAATCTGCAGGTGGATATTCGGATAGCTTTGAAGGTTTCGTTGGAAACGGGAATATCTTCATATAAAATCTAGACGGAAGCATTCTCAGAAACTGCTTTGTGATGTTTTCATTGAAGTCACAGAGTAGAATGTTCCCTTTTATATACCAGGCTTGAGACACTCTTTCTGCACTACCTGGAAGTGGACATTTGGAGCGCTTTGAGGCCTATGATGAAAAAGGAAATATCTTCCCATAAAAACTAGACAGAAGCATTCTCAGAAACTTGTTTGTGATGTGTGTATTCAACTAACAGAGATGAACCTTTCTTTTTACAGAGCAGTTTTGAAACACTCTTTTTGTGGAATCTGAAAGTGGATATTTGGATAGCTTTGAGGATTTCATTGAAAACGGGATTACATATAAAATCTAGAGAGAAGGATTCTCAGGAACATCTTTGTGATGTTTGCATTCACGTCACAGAACTGAACATTCCCTTTCATAGAGCATGTTTGAAAAACTCTTTCTGTAGTATCTGCAAACGGACATTTCAAACACTTTCAGGCCTATGGTGAGAAAGGAAATATATTCAAATAAAAACTAGACAGAAGCATTCTCAGAAACTTATTTGCGATGTGTGTCCTCAACTAACAGAGTTGAACCTTTCTTTTGATACAACATTTTGGAAACACTCTTTTTGTAGAATCTGCAAGTGGATATTTGGATAGCTTTGAAGGTTTCGTTGGAAACGGGAATATCTTCATATAAAATCAAGACAGAAGCATTCTCAGAAAATTCTCTGTTTTGTTTGCATTCAACTCATAGGGGTGAACACTTCCCTTCATAGAGCAGGTTTGAAACACTCTTTTTGTAATATTTAGAAGTGGACATTTGCAGCGCTTTGAGGCCTATGTTGAAAAAGGAAATATCTTCTCCTAAAAACCAGACAGAAGCATTCTCAGAAACTTCCTTGTGATGTGTGTACTCAAGTAACAGAGTTGAACCTTACTTTTGACAGAGCAGTTTTGAAACAGTCTTTTTGTAGAATCTGGAAGTAGATATTTGGATACCTTTGAGGATTTCTTTGGAAACGGGATATCTTCATATAAAATCTAGACGGAAGCATTCTCAGACACTTCTTTGTGCTGTATGTCCTCAACTAACAGAGTTGAACCTTTGTGTGGATACAGCATTTTGGAAACATTCCTTTAGTAGAATCTGCAAGTTGATATTTAGATAGCTAGGAAGATTTCCTTGGAAACGGGAATATCTTCACATAAAATCTAGACGGAAGCATTCTCAGAAAGTGCTTTGTGATGTTTGCATTCAAGTCACAGAGTTGAATATTCCCTTTTATAGAGCACGTTTGAAACACTCTTTCTGCACTACCTGGAAGTGGACATTTGGAGCGCTTTCAGGCCTATGTTGAAAAAGGAAATATCTTCCCATAAAAACTAGACAGAAGCATTCTCAGAAACTTGTTTGTGATGTGTGTATTCAACTAACAGAGATGAACCTTTCTTTTTACAGAGCAGTTTTGAAACACTCTTTTTGTAGAATCTGAAAGTGGATATTTGGATAGCATTGAGGATTTCGTTGGAAACGGGATTACATATAAAACCTAGAGAGAAGCATTCTCAGGAACTTCTTTGTGATGTTTGCATTCAAGTCACAGACCTGAACATTCCCTTACATAGAGCATGTTTGAAACACTCTTTCTGTAGTATCTGCAAGCTGACGTTTCAAGCGCTTTCAGGCCTGTGGTGAGAAAGGAAATATCTTCAAGTAAAAACTAGACAGAAACATTCTCAGAAACTTATTTGCCATGTGTGTTCTCAACTAACAGAGTTGAACCTTTGTTTTGATACGGCATTTTGGAAACACTCTTTTTGTAGAATCTGCAGGTGGATATTCGGATAGCTTTGAAGGTTTCGTTGGAAACGGGAATATCTTCATAAAAAATCTAGACGGAAGCATTCTCAGAAACTGCTTTGTGATGTTTTCATTGAAGTCACAGAGTAGAATGTTCCCTTTTATATACCAGGTTTGAGACACTCTTTCTGCACTACCTGGAAGTGGACATTTGGAGCGCTTTGAGGCCTATGATGAAAAAGGAAATATCTTCCCATAAAAACTAGACAGAAGCATTCTCAGAAACTTGTTTGTGATGTGTGTATTCAACTAACAGAGATGAACCTTTCTTTTTACAGAGCAGTTTTGAAACACTCTTTTTGTGGAATCTGAAAGTGGATATTTGGATAGCTTTGAGGATTGCGTTGGAAACGGGATTACATATAAAATCTAGGGAGAAGCATTCTCAGGAACTTCTTTGTGATGTTTGCATTCAAGTCACAGAACTGAACATTCCCTTTCATGGAGCAGGTTTGAAACACTCTTTCTGTAGTATCTGCAAGCGGACGTTTCAAGCGCTTTCAGGCCTGTGGTGAAAAAGGAAATCTCTTCAAATAAAAACTAGACAGAAGCATTCTCAGAAACTTATTTGCGATGTTTGTCCTCAACTAACAGAGTTGAACCTTTGTTTTGATACAGCATTTTGGAAACACTCTTTTTGTAGGATCTGCAGGTGGATATTTGGATAGCTTTGAAGGTTTCGTTGGAAACGGGAATATTTTCATATAAAATCAAGACAGAAGCATTCTCAGAAACTTCTCTGTGATGTTTGCATTCAACTCATAGAGTTGAACACTTCCTTTCATACAGCAGGTTTTAAACACTCTTTTTGAAATATTTGGAAGTGGACATTTGCAGCGCTTTGAGGCCTAGGTTGAAAAAGGAAATATCTTCTCCTAAAAACCAGACAGAAGCATTCTCAGAAACTTCCTTGTGATGTGTGTACTCAAGTAACACAGTTGAACCTTACTTTTGACAGAGCCGTTTTGAAACAGTCTTTTTGTAGAATCTGGAAGTAGATATTTGGATACCTTTGAGGATTTCTTTGGAAACGGGATATCTTTATATAAAATCTACACAGAAGCATTCTCAGACACTTCTTTGTGCTGTATGTCCTCAATTAACAGAGTTGAACCTTTGTGTGGATACAGCATTTTGGAAACATTCCTTTAGTAGAATCTGCAAGTTGATATTTAGATAGCTAGGAAGATTTCCTTGGAAACGGGAATATCTTCATATAAAATCTAGACGGAAGCATTCTCAGAAAGTGCTTTGTGATGTTTGCATTCAAGTCACAGAGTTGAATATTCCCTTTTATAGAGCACGTTTGAAACACTCTTTCTGCACTACCTGGAAGTGGACATTTGGAGCGCTTTCAGGCCTATGTTGAAAAAGGAAATATCTTCCCATAAAAACTAGACAGAAGCATTCTCAGAAACTTGTTTGTGATGTGTGTATTCAACTAACAGAGATGAACCTTTCTTTTTACAGAGCAGTTTTGAAACACTCTTTTTGTAGAATCTGAAAGTGGATATTTGGATAGCATTGAGGATTTCGTTGGAAACGGGATTACATATAAAACCTAGAGAGAAGCATTCTCAGGAACTTCTTTGTGATGTTTGCATTCAAGTCACAGACCTGAACATTCCCTTACATAGAGCATGTTTGAAACACTCTTTCTGTAGTATCTGCAAGCTGACGTTTCAAGCGCTTTCAGGCCTGTGGTGAGAAAGGAAATATCTTCAAGTAAAAAATAGACAGAAGCATTCTCAGAAACTTATTTGCCATGTGTGTTCTCAACTAACAGAGTTGAACCTTTGTTTTGATACGGCATTTTGGAAACACTCTTTTTGTAGAATCTGCAGGTGGATATTCGGATAGCTTTGAAGGTTTCGTTGGAAACGGGAATATCTTCATATAAAATCTAGACGGAAGCATTCTCAGAAACTGCTTTGTGATGTTTTCATTGAAGTCACAGAGTAGAATGTTCCCTTTTATATACCAGGTTTGAGACACTCTTTCTGCACTACCTGGAAGTGGACATTTGGAGCGCTTTGAGGCCTATGATGAAAAAGGAAATATCTTCCCATAAAAACTAGACAGAAGCATTCTCAGAAACTTGTTTGTGATGTGTGTATTCAACTAACAGAGATGAACCTTTCTTTTTACAGAGCAGTTTTGAAACACTCTTTTTGTGGAATCTGAAAGTGGATATTTGGATAGCTTTGAGGATTTCGTTGGAAACGGGATTACATATAAAATCTAGGGAGAAGCATTCTCAGGAACTTCTTTGTGATGTTTGCATTCAAGTCACAGAACTGAACATTCCCTTTCATAGAGCAGGTTTGAAACACTCTTTCTGTAGTATCTGCAAGCGGACGTTTCAAGGGCTTTCAGGCCTGTGGTGAAAAAGGAAATCTCTTCAAATAAAAACTAGACAGAAGCATTCTCAGAAACTTATTTGCGATGTGTGTCCTCAACTAACAGAGTTGAACCTCTGTTTTGATACAGCATTTTGGAAACACTCTTTTTGTAGGATCTGCAGGTGGATATTTGGATAGCTTTGAAGGTTTCGTTGGAAACGGGAATATCTTCATATAAAATCAACACAGAAGCATTCTCAGAAACTTCTCTCTGATGTTTGCATTCAACTCATAGAGTTGAACAATTCCTTTCATAGAGCTGGTTTGAAATACTCTTTTTGTAATATTTGGAAGTGGACATTGGCAGCGCTTTGAAGCTTATGGTGAAAAAGGAGATATCTTCTCCTAAAAACCAGACAGAAGCATTCTCAGAATCTTTCTTGTAATGTGTGTACTCAAGTAACAGAGTTGAACCTTCCTTTTGACAGAGCAGTTTTGAAGCACTCTTTTTGTAGAATCTGCAAGTGGATATTTTGATACCTTTGAGGATTTCGTTGGACACGGGATATCTTCATATAAAATCTAGACAGAAGCATTCTCAGACACATCTTTGTGCTGTATGTCCTCAATTAACAGAGTTGAACCTTTGTTTCGATACGGCATTTTGGAAACATTCCTTTAGTAGGATATGCAAGTTGATATTTAGATAGCTAGGAAGATTTCCTTGGAAACGGGAATATCTTCATATAAAATCTAGACGGAAGCATTCTCAGAAAGTGCTTTGTGATGTTTGCATTCAAGTCACAGAGGTGAATATTCCCTTTTATAGAGCAGGTTTGAAACACTCTTTCTGCACTACCTGGAAGTGGACATTTGGAGCGCTTTGAGGCCTATGTTGAAAAAGGAAATATCTTCCCATAAAAACTAGACAGAAGCATTCTCAGAAGCTTGTTTGTGATGTGTGTATTCAACTAACAGAGATGAACCTTTCTTTTTACAGAGCAGTTTTGAAACACTCTTTTTGTGGAATCTGAAAGTGGATATTTGGATAGCTTTGAGGATTTCGTTGGAAACGGGATTACATATAAAATCTAGAGAGAAGCATTCTCAGGAACTTCTTTCTGATGTTTGCATTCAAGTCACAGAACTGAACATTCCCTTTCATAGAGCATGTTTGAAACACTCTTTCTGTAGTATCTGCAAGCTGACGTTTCAAGCGCTTTCAGGCCTATGGTGAGAAAGGAAATATCTTCAAGTAAAAACTAGACAGAAACATTCTCAGAAACTTATTTGCCATGTGTGTTCTCAACTAACAGAGTTGAACCTTTGTTTTGATACGGCATTTTGGAAACACTCTTTTTGTAGAATCTGCAGGTGGATATTCGGATAGCTTTGAAGGTTTCGTTGGAAACGGGAATATCTTCATATAAAATCTAGACGGAAGCATTCTCAGAAACTGCTTTGTGATGTTTTCATTGAAGTCACAGAGTAGAATGTTCCCTTTTATATACCAGGTTTGAGACACTCTTTCTGCACTACCTGGAAGTGGACATTTGGAGCGCTTTGAGGCCTATGATGAAAAAGGAAATATCTTCCCATAAAAACTAGACAGAAGCATTATCAGAAACTTGTTTGTGATGTGTGTATTCAACTAACAGAGATGAACCTTTCTTTTTACAGAGCAGTTTTGAAACACTCTTTTTGTGGAATCTGAAAGTGGATATTTGGATAGCTTTGAGGATTTCGTTGGAAACGGGATTACATATAAAATCTAGAGAGAAGCATTCTCAGGAACTTCTTTGTGATGTTTTCATTCACGTCACAGAACTGAACATTCCCTTTCATAGAGCATGTTTGAAACACTCTTTCTGTAGTATCTGCAAACGGACATTTCAAGCGCTTTCAGGCCTATGGTGAGAAAGGAAATATCTTCAAATAAAAACTAGACAGAAGCATTCTCAGAAACTTATTTGCGATGTGTGTCCTCAACTAACAGAGTTGAACCTTTGTTTTGATACAACATTTTGGAAACACTCTTTTTGTAGAATCTGCAAGTGGATATTTGGATAGCTTTGAAGATTTCGTTGGAAACGGGAATATCTTCATATAAAATCAAGACAGAAGCATTCTCAGAAACTTCTCTGTGATGTTTGCATTCAACTCATAGAGTTGAACACTTCCTTTCATACAGCAGGTTTTAAACACTCTTTTTGTAATATTTGGAAGTGGACATTTGCAGCGCTTTGAGGCCTATGTTGAAAAAGGAAATATCTTCTCCTAAAAACCAGACAGAAGCATTCTCAGAAACTTCCTTGTGATGTGTGTACTCAAGTGACAGAGTTGAACCTTACTTTTGACAGAGCCGTTTTGAAACAGTCTTTTTGTAGAATCTGGAAGTAAATATTTGGATACCTTTGAGGATTTCTTTGGAAACGGGATATCTTTATATAAAATCTACACAGAAGCATTCTCAGACACTTCTTTGTGCTGTATGTCCTCAATTAACAGAGTTGAACCTTTGTGTGGATACAGCATTTTGGAAACATTCCTTTAGTAGAATCTGCAAGTTGATATTTAGATAGCTAGGAAGATTTCCTTGGAAACGGGAATATCTTCATATAAAATCTAGACGGAAGCATTCTCAGAAAGTGCTTTGTGATGTTTGCATTCAAGTCACAGAGTTGAATATTCCCTTTTATAGAGCAGGTTTGAAACACTCTTTCTGCACTACCTGGAAGTGGACATTTGGAGCGCTTTGAGGCCTATGTTGAAAAAGGAAATATCTTTCCATGAAAACTAGACAGAAGCATTCTCAGAAACTTCTTTGTGATGTGTGTATTCAACTAACAGAGATGAACCTTTCTTTTTACAGAGCAGTTTTGAAACACTCTTTCTGTGGAATCTGAAAGTGGATATTTGGATAGCTTTGAGGATTTCGTTGGAAACGGGATTACATATAAAACCTAGAGAGAAGCATTCTCAGGAACTTCTTTGTGATGTTTGCATTCAAGTAACAGAACTGAACATTCCCTTTCATAGAGCCGGTTTGAAACACTCTTTCTGTAGTATCTGCAAGCTGACGTTTCAAGCGCTTTCAGGCCTATGGTGAGAAAGGAAATATCTTCAAGTAAAAACTAGACAGAAGCATTCTCAGAAACTTATTTGCCATGTGTGTTCTCAACTAACAGAGTTGAACCTTTGTTTTGATACAGCATTTTGGAAACACTCTTTTTGTAGGATCTACAGGTGGATATTTGGATAGCTTTTAAGGTTTCGTTGGAAACGGGAATATCTTCATATAAAATCAAGACAGAAGCATTCTCAGAAACTTCTCTGTGATGTTTGCATTCAACTCATAGAGTTGAAGACTTCCTTTCATAGAGCCGGTTTGAAACACTCTTTCTGCACTACCTGGAAGTGGACATTTCGAGCGCTTTGAGGCCTATGTTGAAAAAGGAAATATCTTCCCATAAAAACTAGACAGAAGCATTCTCAGAAACTTGTTTGTGATGTGTGTATTCAACTAACAGATATGAACCTTTCTTTTTACAGAGCAGTTTTGAAACACTCTTTTTGTGGAATCTGAAAGTGGATATTTGGATAGCTTTGAGGATTTCGTTGGAAACGGGATTACATATAAAATCTAGGGAGAAGCATTCTCAGGAACTTCTTTGTGATGTTTGCATTCAAGTCACAGAACTGAACATTCCCTTTCATAGAGCAGGTTTGAAACACTGTTTCTGTAGTATCTGCAAACGGACATTCCAAGCGCTTTCAGGCCAATGGTGAGAAAGGAAATATCTTCAAATAAAAACCAGACAGAAGCATTCTCAGAAACTTATTTGTGATGTGTGTCCTCAACTAACAGAGTTGAACCTTTCTATTGATACAACATTTTGGAAACACTCTTTTTGTAGAATCTGCAGGTGGATATTCGGATAGCTTTGAAGGTTTCGTTGGAAACGGGAATATCTTCATATAAAATCAAGACAGAAGCATTCTCAGAAACTTCTCTGTGATGTTTGCATTCAACTCATAGAGGTGAACACTTCCCTTCATAGAGCAGGTTTGAAACACTCTTTTTGTAATATTTGGAAGTGGACATTTGCAGCGCTTTGAGGCCTATGTTGAAAAAGGAAATATCTTCTCCTAAAAACCAGACAGAAGCATTCTCAGAAACTTCCTTGTAATGTGTGTACTCAAGTAACAGAGTTGAACCTTCCTTTTGACAGAGCCGTTTTGAAACACTCTTTTTGTAGAATCTGCAAGTAGATATTTGGATACCTTTGAGGATTTCTTTGGAAACGGGCTATCTTCATATTAAATCTAGACAGAAGCATTCTCAGAAACTTCTTTGTGCTGTATGTCTTCAATTAACAGAGTTGAACCTTTGTTTGGATACAGCATTTTGGAAACGTTCCTTTAGTAGAATCTGCAAGTTGATATTTAGATAGCTTTGAAGGTTTCGTTGGAAACGGGAATATCTTCACATAAAATCTAGACGGAAGCATTCTCAGAAAGTGCTTTGTGATGTTTTCATTGAAGTCACAGAGTTGAATATTCCCTTTTATAGAGCAGGTTTGAAACACTCTTTCTGCACTACCTGGAGGTGGACATTTAGAGCGCTTTGAGGCCTATGTTGAAAAAGGAAATATCTTCCCATAAAAACTAGACAGAAGCATTCTCAGAAACTTCTTTGTGATGTGTGTCTTCAACTAACAGAGATGAACCTTTCTTTTTACAGAGCAGTTTTGAAACACTCTTTTTGTGGAATCTGAAAGTGGATATTTGGATAGCTTTGAGGATTTCGTTGGAAACGGGATTACATATAAAATCTAGAGAGAAGCATTCTCAGGAACTTCTTTGTGATGTTTGCATTCAAGTCACAGAACTGAACATTCCCTTTCATAGAGCAGGTTTGAAACACTCTTTCTGTAGTATCTGCAAGCGGACGTTTCAAGCGCTTTCAGGCCTGTGGCGAAAAAGGAAGTATCTTCAAATAAAAACTAGACAGAAGCATTCTCAGAAACTTATTTGCGATGTGTGTTCTCAACTAACAGAGTTGAACCTTTGTTTTGATACAGCATTTTGGAAACACTCTTTTTGTAGGATCTGCAGGTGGATATTTGGATAGCTTTGAAGGTTTCGTTGGAAACGGGAATATCTTCATATAAAATCAAGACAGAAGCATTCTCAGAAACTTCTCTGTGATGTTTGCATTCAACTCATAGAGTTGAACAATTCCTTTCATAGAGCTGGTTTGAAATACTCTTTTTGTAATATTTGGAAGTGGACATTGGCAGCGCTTTGAAGCTTATGGTGAAAAAGGAGATATCTTCTCCTAAAAACCAGACAGAAGCATTCTCAGAATCTTTCTTGTGATGTGTGTACTCAAGTAACAGAGTTGAACCTTCCTTTTGACAGAGCAGTTTTGAAGCACTCTTTTTGTAGAATCTGCAAGTGGATATTTTGATACCTTTGAGGATTTCGTTGGACACGGGATATCTTCATATAAAATCTAGACAGAAGCATTCTCAGACACATCTTTGTGCTGTATGTCCTCAATTAACAGAGTTGAACCTTTGTTTCGATACGGCATTTTGGAAACATTCCTTTAGTAGGATATGCAAGTTGATATTTAGATAGCTAGGAAGATTTCCTTGGAAACGGGAATATCTTCATATAAAATCTAGACGGAAGCATTCTCAGAAAGTGCTTTGTGATGTTTGCATTCAAGTCACAGAGGTGAATATTCCCTTTTATAGAGCAGGTTTGAAACACTCTTTCTGCACTACCTGGAAGTGGACATTTGGAGTGCTTTGAGGCCTATGTTGAAAAAGGAAATATCTTCCCATAAAAACTAGACAGAAGCATTCTCAGAAGCTTGTTTGTGATGTGTGTATTCAACTAACAGAGATGAACCTTTCTTTTTACAGAGCAGTTTTGAAACACTCTTTTTGTGGAATCTGAAAGTGGATATTTGGATAGCTTTGAGGATTTCGTTGGAAACGGGATTACATATAAAATCTAGAGAGAAGCATTCTCAGGAACTTCTTTCTGATGTTTGCATTCAAGTCACAGAACTGAACATTCCCTTTCATAGAGCATGTTTGAAACACTCTTTCTGTAGTATCTGCAAGCTGACGTTTCAAGCGCTTTCAGGCCTATGGTGAGAAAGGAAATATCTTCAAGTAAAAACTAGACAGAAACATTCTCAGAAACTTATTTGCCATGTGTGTTCTCAACTAACAGAGTTGAACCTTTGTTTTGATACGGCATTTTGGAAACACTCTTTTTGTAGAATCTGCAGGTGGATATTCGGATAGCTTTGAAGGTTTCGTTGGAAACGGGAATATCTTCATATAAAATCTAGACGGAAGCATTCTCAGAAACTGCTTTGTGATGTTTTCATTGAAGTCACAGAGTAGAATGTTCCCTTTTATATACCAGGTTTGAGACACTCTTTCTGCACTACCTGGAAGTGGACATTTGGAGCGCTTTGAGGCCTATGATGAAAAAGGAAATATCTTCCCATAAAAACTAGACAGAAGCATTATCAGAAACTTGTTTGTGATGTGTGTATTCAACTAACAGAGATGAACCTTTCTTTTTACAGAGCAGTTTTGAAACACTCTTTTTTTGGAATCTGAAAGTGGATATTTGGATAGCTTTGAGGATTTCGTTGGAAACGGGAATATCTTCATATAAAATCAAGACAGAAGCATTCTCAGAAACTTCTCTGTGATGTTTGCATTCAACTCATAGAGTTGAACACTTCCTTTCATACAGCAGGTTTTAAACACTCTTTTTGTAATATTTGGAAGTGGACATTTGCAGCGCTTTGAGGCCTATGTTGAAAAAGGAAATATCTTCTCCTAAAAACCAGACAGAAGCATTCTCAGAAACTTCCTTGTGATGTGTGTACTCAAGTAACAGAGTTGAACCTTACTTTTGACAGAGCCGTTTTGAAACAGCCTTTTTGTAGAATCTGGAAGTAGATATTTGGATACCTTTGAGGATTTCTTTGGAAACGGGATATCTTCATATAAAATCTAGACAGAAGCATTCTCAGAAACTTCTTTGTGCTGTAGGTCCTCAATTAACAGAGTTGAACCTTTGTGTGGATACAGCATTTTGGAAACATTCCTTTAGTAGAATCTGCAAGTTGATATTTAGATAGCTAGGAAGATTTCCTTGGAAACGGGAATATCTTCATATAAAATCTAGACGGAAGCATTCTCAGAAACTGCTTTGTGATGTCTTCATTCAAGTCACAGAGTAGAATGTTCCCTTTTATAGAGCAGGTTTGAAACACTCTGTGCACTACCTGGAAGTGGACATTGGGTGCGCTTTGAGGCCTATGTTGAAAAAGGAAATATCTTCCCATAAAAACTAGACAGAAGCATTCTCAGAAACTTGTTTGTGATGTGTGTATTCAACTAACAGAGATGAACCTTTCTTTTTACAGAGCAGTTTTGAAACACTCTTTTTGTGGAGTCTGAAAGTAGATATTTGGATGGCTTTGAGGATTTCGTTGGAAAAGGGATTACATATAAAACCTAGAGAGAAGCATTCTCAGGAACTTCTTTGTGATGTTTGCATTCAAGTCACAGAACTGAACATTCCCTTTCATAGAGCAGGTTTGAAACACTCTTTCTGTAGTATCTGCAAACGGACATTCCAAGCGCTTTCAGGCCTATGGTGAGACAGGAAATATCTTCAAATAAAAACCAGACAGAAGCATTCTCAGAAACATATTTGCGATGTGTGTCCTCAACTAACAGAGTTGAACCTTTCTATTGATACAACATTTTGGAAACACTGTTTTTGTAGAATCTGCAGGTGGATATTCGGATAGCTTTGAAGGTTTCGTTGGAAACGGGAATATCTTCATATAAAATCAAGACAGAAGCATTCTCAGAAACTTCTCTGTGATGTTTGCATTCAACTCATAGAGGTGAACACTTCCCTTCATAGAGCAGGTTTGAAACACTCTTTTTGTAATATTTGGAAGTGGACATTTGCAGCGCTTTGAGGCCTATGTTGAAAAAGGAAATATCTTCTCCTAAAAACCAGACAGAAGCATTCTCAGAAACTTCCTTGTAATGTGTGTACTCAAGTAACCGAGTTGAACCTTCCTTTTGACAGAGCCGTTTTGAAACACTCTTTTTGTAGAATCTGCAAGTAGATATTTGGATACCTTTGAGGATTTCTTTGGAAACGGGATATCTTCATATAAAATCTAGACAGAAGCATTCTCAGAAACTTCTTTGTGCTGTATGTCTTCAATTAACAGAGTTGAACCTTTGTTTGGATACAGCATTTTGGAAACGTTCCTTTAGTAGAATCTGCAAGTTGATATTTAGATAGCTAGGAAGATTTCCTTGGAAACGGGAATATCTTCACATAAAATCTAGACGGAAGCATTCTCAGAAAGTGCTTTGTGATGTTTGCATTCAAGTCACAGAGTTGAATATTCCCTTTTATAGAGCAGGTTTGAAACACTCTTTCTGCACTACCTGGAGGTGGACATTTAGAGCGCTTTGAGGCCTATGTTGAAAAAGGAAATATCTTCCCATAAAAACTAGACAGAAGCATTCTCAGAAACTTGTTTGTGATGTGTGTATTCAACTAACAGAGATGAACCTTTCTTTTTACAGAGCAGTTTTGAAACACTCTTTTTGTGGAATCTGAAAGTGGATATTTGGATAGCTTTGAGGATTTCGTTGGAAACGGGATTACATATAAATTCTAGAGAGAAGCATTCTCAGGAACTTCTTTGTGATGTTTGCATTCAAGTCACAGAACTGAACATTCCCTTTCATAGAGCAGGTTTGAAACTCTCTTTCAGTAGTATCTGCAAGCGGACGTTTCAAGCGCTTTCAGGCCTGTGGAGAAAAAGGAAATATCTTCAAATAAAAACTAGACGGAAGCATTCTCAGAAACTTATTTGCGATGTGTGTCCTCAACTAACAGAGTTGAACCTTTGTGTGGATACAGCATTTTGGAAACACTCTTTTTGTAGGATCTGCAGGTGGATATTTGGATAGCTTTTAAGGTTTCGTTGGAAACGGGAATATCTTCATATAAAATCAAGACAGAAGCATTCTCAGAAACTTCTCTGTGATGTTTGCATTCAACTCATAGAGTTGAAGACTTCCTTTCACAGAGCCGGTTTGAAACACTCTGTGCACTACCTGGAAGTGGACATTTGGAGCGCTTTGAGGCCTATGTTGAAAAAGGAAATATCTTCCCATAAAAACTAGACAGAAGCATTCTCAGAAACTTGTTTGTGATGTGTGTATACAACTAACAGAGATGAACCTTTCTTTTTACAGAGCAGTTTTGAAACACTCTTTTTGTGGAATCTGAAAGTGGATATTTGGATAGCTTTGAGGATTTCGTTGGAAACGGGATTACATATAGAATCTAGGGAGAAGCATTCTGAGGAACTTCTTTGTGATGTTTGCATTCAAGTCACAGAACTGAACATTCCCTTTCATAGAGCAGGTTTGAAACACTCTTTCTGTAGTATCTGCAAGCGGACGTTTCAAGCGCTTTCAGGCCTGTGGTGAAAAAGGAAATATCTTCAAATAAAAACTAGACAGAAGCATTCTCAGAAACTTATTTGCGATGTGTGTCCTCAACTAACAGAGTTGAACCTTTGTTTTGATACAGCATTTTGGAAACACTCTTTTTGTAGAATCTGCAGGTGGATATTTGGATAGCTTTGAAGGTTTCGTTGGAAACGGGAATATCTTCATATAAAATCAAGACAGAAGCATTCTCAGAAACTTCTCTGTGATGTTTGCATTCAACTCATAGAGTTGAACAAATCCTTTCATAGAGCTGGTTTGAAATACTCTTTTTGTAATATTTGGAAGTGGACAATGGCAGCGCTTTGAAGCTTATGGTGAAAAAGGAGATATCTTCTCCTAAATACCAGACAGAAGCATTCTCAGAATCTTTCTTGTGATGTGTGTACTCAAGTAACAGAGTTGAACCTTCCTTTTGACAGAGCAGTTTTGAAGCACTCTTTTTGTAGAATCTGCAAGTGGATATTTTGATACCTTTGAGGATTTCGTTGGACACGGGATATCTTCATATAAAATCTAGACAGAAGCATTCTCAGACACTTCTTTGTGCTGTATGTCCTCAATTAACAGAGTTGAACCTTTGTTTCCATACGGCATTTTGGAAACATTCCTTTAGTAGAATCTGCAAGTTGATATTTAGATAGCTAGGAAGATTTCCTTGCAAACGGGAATATCTTCATATAAAATCTAGACGGAAGGATTCTCAGAAAGTGCTTTGTGATGTTTGCATTCAAGTCACAGAGGTGAATATTCCCTTTTATAGAGCAGGTTTGAAACACTCTTTCTGCACTACCTGGAAGTGGACATTTGGAGCGCTTTGAGGCCTATGTTGAAAAAGGAAATATCTTCCCATAAAAACTAGATAGAAGCATTCTCAGAAACTTGTTTGTGATGTGTGTATTCAACTAACAGAGATGAACCTTTCTTTTTACAGAGCAGTTTTGAAACACTCTTTTTGTGGAATCTGAAAGTGGATATTTGGATAGCTTTGAGGATTTCGTTGGAAACGGGATTACATATAAAATCTAGAGAGAAGCATTCTCAGAAACTTCCTTGTGATGTGTGTACTCAAGTAACAGAGTTGAACCTTACTTTTGACAGAGCCGTTTTGAAACAGTCTTTTTGTAGTATCTGCAAGTGGACGTTTCAAGCGCTTTCAGGCCTGTGGTGAAAAAGGAAATATCTTCAAATAAAATCTAGACAGAAGCATTCTCAGAAACTTATTTGCGATGTGTGTTCTCAACTAACAGAGTTGAACTTTTGTTTTGATACAGCATTTTGGAAACACTCTTTTTGTAGGATCTGCAAGTTGATATTTGGATAGCTTTGAAGGTTTCGTTGGAAACGGGAATATCTTCATATAAAATCTAGACGGAAGCATTCTCAGAAACTGCTTTGTGATGTTTCATTCAAGTCACAGAGTAGAATGTTCCCTTTTATAGAGCAGGTTTGAGACATTCTTTCTGCACTACCTGGAAGTGGACATTTGGAGCGCTTTGAGGCCTATGTTGAAAAAGGAAATATCTTCCCATAAACACTAGACAGAAGCATTCTCAGAAACTTGTTTGTGATGTGTGTATTCAACTAACAGAGATGAACCTTTCTTTTTACAGAGCAGTTTTGAAACACTCTTTTTGTGGAATCTGAAAGTGGATATTTGGATAGCTTTGAGGATTTCGTTGGAAACGGGATTACATATAAAATCTAGGGAGAAGCATTCTCAGGAACTTCTTTGTGATGTTTGCATTCAAGTCACAGAACTGAACATTCCCTTTCATAGAGCAGGTTTGAAACACTCTTTCTGTAGTATCTGCAACCGGACGTTTCAAGCGCTTTCAGGCCTGTGGTGAAAAAGGAAATATCTTCAAATAAAAACTAGACAGAAGCATTCTCAGAAACTTATTTGCGATGTGTGTTCTCAACTAACAGAGTTGAACCTTTGTTTTGATACAGCATTTTGGAAACACTCTTTTTGTAGGATCTGCAGGTGGATATTTGGATAGCTTTGAAGGTTTCGTTGGAAACGGGAATATCTTCATATAAAATCAAGACAGAAGCATTCTCAGAAACTTCTTTGTGATGTTTGCATTCAACTCATAGAGTTGAACACTTCCCTTCATACAGCAGGTTTGAAACACTCTTTTTGTAATATTTGGAAGTGGCCATTTGCAGCGCTTTGAGGCCTATGTTGAAAAAGGAAATATCTTCTCCTAAAAACCAGACAGAAGCATTCTCAGAAACTTCCTTGTGATGTGTGTACTCAAGTAACAGAGTTGAACCTTACTTTTGACAGAGCCGTTTTGAAACAGTCTTTTTGTAGAATCTGGAAGTAGATATTTGGATACATTTGAGGATTTCTTTGGAAACGGGATATCTTCATATAAAATCTAGACAGAAGCATTCTCAGAAACTTCTTTGTGCTGTATGTCCTCAATTAACAGAGTTGAACCTTTGTGTGGATACAGCATTTTGGAAACATTCCTTTAGTAGAATCTGCAAGTTGATATTTAGATAGCTAGGAAGATTTCCTTGGAAACGGGAATATCTTCATATAAAATCTAGACGGAAGCATTCTCAGAAACTGCTTTGTGATGTCTTCATTCAAGTCACAGAGTAGAATGTTCCCTTTTATAGAGCAGGTTTGAAACACTCTGTGCACTACCTGGAAGTGGACATTTGGAGCGCTTTGAGGCCTATGTTGAAAAAGGAAATATCTTCCCATAGAAACTAGACAGAAGCATTCTCAGAAACTTATTTGTGATGTGTATATTCAACTAACAGAGATGAACCTTTCTTTTTACAGAGCAGGTTTGAAACACTCTTTTTGTGGAATCTGAAAGTGGATATTTGGATAGCTTTGAGGATTTCGTTGGAAACGGGATTACATATAAAATCTAGGGAGAAGCATTCTCAGGAACTTCTTTGTGATGTTTGCATTCAAGTCACAGAACTGAACATTCCCTTTCATAGAGCATGTTTGAAACACTCTTTCTGTAGTATCTGCAAGCGGACGTTTCAAGCGCTTTCAGGCCTGTGGTGAAAAAGGAAATATCTTCAAATAAAAACTAGACAGAAGCATTCTCAGAAACTTATTTGCGATGTGTGTTCTCAACTAACAGAGTTGAACAATTGTTTTGATACAGCATTTTGGAAACACTCTTTTTGTAGGATCTGCAAGTGGATATTTGGATAGCTTTGAAGGTTTCGTTGGAAACGGGAATATCTTCATATAAAATAAAGACAGAAGCATTCTCAGAAACTTCTCTGTGATGTTTGCATTCAACTCATAGAGTTGAACACTTCCTTTCATAGAGCAGGTTTGAAAAACTCTGTGCACTACTTGGAAGTGGACATTTGGAGCGCTTTGAGGCCTATGTTGAAAAAGGAAATATCTTCCCATAAAAACTAGACAGAAGCATTCTCAGAAACTTGTTTGTGATGTGTGTATTCAACTAACAGAGATGAACCTTTCTTTTTACAGAGCAGTTTTGAAACACTCTTTTTGTGGAATCTGAAAGTGGATATTTGGATAGCTTTGAGGATTTCGTTGGAAACGGGATTACATATAAAATGTAGGGAGAAGCATTCTCAGGAACTTCTTTGTGATGTTTGCATTCAAGTCACAGAACTGAACATTCCCTTTCATAGAGCAGGTTTGAAACACTCTTTCTGTAGTATCTGCAAGCGGACGTTTCAAGCGCTTTCAGGCCTGTGGTGAAAAAGGAAATATCTTCAAATAAAAACTAGACAGAAGCATTCTCAGAAACTTATTTGCGATGTGTGTTCTCAACTAACAGAGTTGAACCTTTGTTTTGATACAGCATTTTGGAAACACTCTTTTTGTAGGATCTGCAGGTGGATATTTGGATAGGTTTGAAGGTTTCGTTGGAAACGGGAATATCTTCATATAAAATCAAGACAGAAGCATTCTCAGAAACTTCTCTGTGATGTTTGCATTCAACTCATAGAGTTGAACACTTCCTTTCATAGAGCTGGTTTGAAATACTCTTTTTGTAATATTTGGAAGTGGACATTGGCAGCGCTTTGAAGCTTATGGTGAAAAAGGAGATATCTTCTCCTAAAAACCAGACAGAAGCATTCTCAGAATCTTTCTTGTGATGTATGTACTCAAGTAACAGAGTTGAACCTTCCTTTTGATTGAGCAGTTTTGAAGCACTCTTTTTGTAGAATCTGCAAGTGGATATTTTGCTACCATTGAGGATTTCGTTGGACACGGGATATCTTCATATAAAATCTAGACAGAAGCATTCTCAGAAACTTCTTTGTGCTGTATGTCCTCAATTAACGGAGTTGAACCTTTGTGTGGATACAGCATTTTGGAAACATTCCTTTAGTAGAATCTGCAAGTTGATACTTAGATAGGAAGATTTCCTTGGAAACGGGAATATCTTCATATAAAATCTAGACGGAAGCATTCTCAGAAACTGCTTTGAGATGTTTTCATTCATGTCACAGAGTAGAATGTTCCCTTTTATAGAGCAGGTTTGAAACACTCTGTGCACTACATGGAAGTGGACATTTGGAGCGCTTTGAGGCCTATGCTGAAAAAGGAAATATCTTCCCATAAAAACTAGACAGAAGCATTCTCAGAAACTTGTTTGTGATGTGTGTATTCAACTAACAGAGATGAGCCTTTCTTTTTACACAGCAGTTTTGAAACACTCTTTTTGTGGAATCTGAAAGTAGATATTTGGATAGCTTTGAGGATTTCGTTGGAAACGGGATTACATATAAAATCTAGAGAGAAGCATTCTCAGGAACTTCTTTGTGATGCTTGCATTCAAGTCACAGAACTGAACATTCCCTTTCATAGATCATGTTTGAAACACTCTTTCTGTAGTATCTGCAAACGGACATTTCAAGCACTTTCAGGCCTACGGTGAGAAAGGAAATATCTTCAAATAGAAACTAGACAGAAGCATTCTCAGAAACTTATTTGCGATGTGTGTCCTCAACTAACAGAGTTGAACCTTTGTTTTGATAAAACATTTTGGAAACACTCTTTTTGTAGAATCTGCAAGTGGATATTTGGATAGATTTGAAGGTTTCGTTGGAAACGGGAATATCTTCATATAAAATCAAGACAGAAGCATTCTCAGAAACTTCTCTGTGATGTTTGCATTCATCTCATAGAGGTGAACACTTCCCTTCACAGAGCAGGTTTGAAACACTCTTTTTGTAATATTTGGAAGTGGACATTTGCAGCGCTTTGAGGCCTATCTTAAAAAAGGAAATATCTTCCCATAAAAAATAGACAGAAGCATTCTCAGAAACTTGTTTGTGATGTGTGTATTCAACTAACAGAGATGAACCTTTCTTTTTACAGAGCAGTTTTGAAACACTCTTTTTGTGGAATCTGAAAGTGGATATTTGGATAGCTTTGATTATTTCGTTGGAAACGGGATTACATATAAAATCTAGGGAGAAGCATTCTCAGGAACTTCTTTGTGATGTTTGCATTCAAGTCACAGAACTGAACATTCCCTTTCATAGTGCAGGTTTGAAACACTCTTTCTGTAGTATCTGCAAACGGACATTTCAAACGCTTTCAGGCCTATGGTGAGAAAGGAAATATCTTCAAATAAAAACTAGACAGAAGCATTCTCAGAAACTTATTTGCGATGTGTGTCCTCAACTAACAGAGTTGAACCTTTCTTTTGATACAACATTTTGGAAACACTCTTTTTGTAGAATCTGCAAGTGGATATTTGGATAGCTTTGAAGGTTTCGTTGGAAACGGTAATATCTTCATATAAAATCAAGACAGAAGCATTCTCAGAAACTTCTCTGCGATGTTTGCATTCAACTCATAGAGTTGAACACTTCCCTTCATACAGCAGGTTTGAAACACTCTTTTTGTAATATTTGGAAGTGGACATTTGCAGCGCTTTGAGGCCTATGTTGAAAAAGGAAATATCTTCTCCTAAAAACCAGACAGAAGCATTCTCAGAAACTTCCTTGTGATGTGTGTACTCAAGTAACAGAGTTGAACCTTCCTTTTGACAGAGCAGTTTTGAAACAGTCTTTTTGTAGAATCTGGAAGAAGATATTTGGATACCTTTGAGGATTTCTTTGGAAACGTGATATCTTCATATAAAATCTAGACAGAAGCATTCTCAGAAACTTCTTTGTGCTGTATGTCCTCAATTAACAGAGTTGAACCTTTGTGTGGATACAGCATTTTGGAAACACTCCTTTAGTAGAATCTGCAAGTTGATATTTAGATAGCTAGGAAGATTTCCTTGGAAACGGGAATATCTTCACATAAAATCTAGACGGAAGCATTCTCAGAAACTGCTTTGTGATGTCTTCATTCAAGTCACAGAGTAGAATGTTCCCTTTTATAGAGCAGGTTTGAAACACTCAGTGCACTACCTGGAAGTGGACATTTGGAGCGCTTTGAGGCCTATGTTGAAAAAGGAAGTATTTTCCCATAGAAACTAGACAGAAGCATTCTCAGAAACTTGTTTGCGATGTGTGTATTCAACTAACAGAGATGAACCTTTCTTTTTACAGAGCAGTTTTGAAACACTCTTTTTGTGGAATCTGAAAGTGGATATTTGGATAGCTTTGAGGATTTTGTTGGAAACGGGATTACATATAAAACCTAGAGAGAAGCATTCTCAGGAACTTCTTTGTGATGTTTGCATTCAAGTCACAGAACTGAACATTCCCTTTCATAGACCAGGTTTGAAACACTCTTTCTGTAGTATCTGCAAGCTGATGTTTCAAGCGCTTTCAGGCCTATGGTGAGAAAGGAAATATCTTCAAATAAAAACTAGACAGAAGCATTCTCAGAAACTTATTTGCGATGTGTGTCCTCAACTAACAGAGTTGAACCTTTCTTTTGATACAACATTTTGGAAACACTCTTTTTGTAGAATCTGCAAGTGGATATTTGGATAGCTTTGAAGGTTTCGTTGGAAACGGGAATATCTTCATATAAAATCAAGACAGAAGCATTCTCAGAAACTTCTCTGTGATGTCTGCATTCAACTCATAGAGTTGAACACTTCCCTTCATACAGCAGGTTTGAAACACTCTTTCTGTAATATTTGGAAGTGGACATTTGCAGCGCTTTGAGGCCTATGTTGAAAAAGGAAATATCTTCTCCTAAAAACCAGACAGAAGCATTCTCAGAAACTTCCTTGTGATGTGTGTACTCAAGTAACAGAGTTGAACCTTACTTTTGACAGAGCCGTTTTGAAACAGTCTCTTTGTAGAATCTGGAAGTAGATATTTGGATACCTTTGAGGATTTCTTTGGAAACGGGATGTCTTCATATAACATCTAGACAGAAGCATTCTCAGAAACTTCTTTGTGCTGTATGTCCTCAATTAACAGAGTTGAACCTTTGTGTGGATACAGCATTTTGGAAACACTCCTTTAGTAGAATCTGCAAGTTGATATTTAGATAGCTAGGAAGATTTCCTTGGAAACGGGAATATATTCACATAAAATCTAGACGGAAGCATTCTCAGAAACTGCTTTGTGATGTCTTCATTCAAGTCACAGAGCAGAATGTTCCCTTTTATAGAGCAGGTTTGAAACACTCAGTGCACTACCTGGAAGTGGACATTTGGAGCGCTTTGAGGCCTATGTTGAAAAAGGAAATATCTTCCCATAGAAACTAGACAGAAGCATTCTCAGAAACTTGTTTGTGATGTGTGTATTCAACTGAGATGAACCTTTCTTTTTACAGAGCAGTTTTGAAACACTCTTTTTGTGGAATCTGAAAGTGGATATTTGGATAGCTTTGAGGATTTCGTTGGAAACGGGATTACATATAAAATCTAGGGAGAAGCATTCTCAGGAACTTCTATTTGATGTTTGCATTCAAGTCACAGAACTGAAAATTCCCTTTCATAGAGCAGGTTTGAAACACTCTTTCTGTAGTATCTGCAAGCGGACGTTTCAAGCGTTTTCAGGCCTGTGGTGAAAAAGGAAATATCTTCAAATAAAAACTAGACAGAATCATTCTCAGAAACTTATTTGCGATGTGTGTTCTCAACTAACAGAGTTGAACCTTTGTTTTGATACAGCATTTTGGAAACACTCTTTTTGTAGGATCTGCAGGTGGATATTTGGATAGCTTTGATGGTTTCGTTGGAAACGGGAATATCCTCATATAAAATCAAGACAGAAGCATTCTCAGAAACTTCTATGTGATGTTTGCCTTCAACTCATAGAGTTGAACACTTCCTTTCATAGAGCAGGTTTGAAACACTCTGTGCACTACCTGGAAGTGGACATTTTGAGCGCTTTGAGACCTATGTTGAAAAAGGAATTATCTTCCCATAAAAACTAGACAGAAGCATACTCAGAAACTTGTTTGTGATGTGTGTATTCAACTAACAGAGATGAACCTTTCTTTTTACAGAGCAGTTTTGAAACACTCTTTTTGTGGAATCTGAAAGTGGATATTTGGATAGCTTTGAAGATTTCGTTGGAAACGGGATTACATATAAAATCTAGGGAGATGCATTCTCAGGAACTCCTTTGTGATGTTTGCATTCAAGTCACAGAACTGAACATTCCCTTTCATAGAGCAGGTTTGAAACACTCTTTCTGTAGTATCTGCAAGCGGACGTTTCAAGCGCTTTCAGGCCTGTGGTGAAAAAGGAAATATCTTCAAATAAAAACTAGACAGAAGCATTCTCAGAAACTTATTTGCGATGTGTGTTCTCAACTAACAGAGTTGAACCTTTGTTTTGATACAGCATTTTGGAAACACTCTTTTTGTAGGATCTGCAGGTGGATATTTGGATAGGTTTGAAGGTTTCGTTGGAAACGGGAATATCTTCATATAAAATCAACACAGAAGCATTCTCAGAAACTTCTCTGTGATGTTTGCATTCAACTCATAGAGTTGAACACTTCCTTTCTTAGAGCTGGTTTGAAATACTCTTTTTGTAATATTTGGAAGTGGACATTGGCAGCGCTTTGAAGCCTATGGTGAAAAAGGAGATATCTTCTCCTAAAAACCAGACAGAAGCATTCTCAGAATCTTTCTTGTGATGTGTGTACTCAAGTAACAGAGTTGAACCTTCATTTTGACAGAGCAGTTTTGAAGCACTCTTTTTGTAGAATCTGCAAGTGGATATTTTGATACCTTTGAGGATTTCGTTAGACACGGGATATCTTCATATAAAATCTAGACAGAAGCATTCTCAGAAACTTCTTTGTGCTGTATGTCCTCAATTAACAGAGTTGAACCTTTGTGTGGATACAGCATTTTGGAAACATTCCTTTAGTAGAATCTGCAAGTTGATATTTAGATAGCTAGGAAGATTTCCTTAGAAACGGGAATACCTTCATATAAAATCTAGACGGAAGCATTCTCAGAAAGTGCTTTGTGATGTTTGCATTCAAGTCACAGAGTTGAATATTCCCTTTTATAGAGCAGGTTTGAAACACTCTTTCTGCACTACCTGGAAGTGGACATTTGGAGGGCTTTGAGGCCTATGTTGAAAAAGGAAATATCTTCCCATAAAAACTAGACAGAAGCATTCTCAGAAACTTGTTTGTGATGTGTGTATTCAACTAACAGAGATGAACCTTTCTTTTTACAGAGCAGTTTTGAAACACTCTTTTTGTGGAATCTGAAAGTGGATATTTGGATAGCTTTGAGGATTTCGTTGGAAACGGGATTACATATAAAATCTAGAGAGAAGCATTCTCAGGAACTTCTTTGTGATGTTTGCATTCACGTCACAGAACTGAACATTCCCTTTCATAGAGCATGTTTGAAACACTCTTTCTGTAGTATCTGCAAAGGGACATTTCAAACGCTTTCAGGCCTATGGTGAGAAAGGAAATATCTTCAAATAAAAACTAGACAGAAGCATTCTCAGAAACTTATTTGCGATGTGTGTCCTCAACTAACAGAGTTGAACCTTTCTTTTGATACGGCATTTTGGAAACACTCTTTTTGTAGAATCTGCAGGTGGATATTCGAATAGCTTTGAAGGTTTCGTTGGAAACGGGAATATCTTCATATAAAATCTAGACGGAAGCATTCTCAGAAACTGCTTTGTAATGTTTTCATTCAAGTCACAGAGTAGAATGTTCCCTTTTATATACCAGGTTTGAGACACTCTTTCTGCACTACATGGAAATGGACATTTGGAGCGCTTTGAGGCCTATGATGAAAAAGGAAATATCTTCCCATAAAAACTAGACAGAAGCATTCTCAGAAACTTGTTTGTGATGTGTGTATTCAACTAACAGAGATGAACCTTTCTTTTTACAGAGCAGTTTTGAAACACTCTTTTTGTGGAATCTGAAAGTGGATATGTGGATAGCTTTGACGATTTCGTTGGAAACGGGATTGCATATAAAATCTAGAGAGAAGCATTCTCAGGAATTTCTTTGTGATGTTTGCATTCAAGTCACAGAACTGAACATTCCCTTTCATAGAGCATGTTTGAAACACTCTTTCTGTAGTATCTGCAAGCGGACATTTCAAGCGCTTTCAGGCCAATGGTGAGAAAGGAATTATCTTCAAATAAAAACTAGACAGAAGCATTCTCAGAAACTTATTTGCGATGTGGGTCCTCAACTAACAGAGTTGAACCTTTGTTTTGATACAACATTTTGCAAACACTCTTTTGGGAGAATCTGCAGGTGAATACTTGGATAGCTTTGAAGGTTTCTTTAGAAACGGGAATATCTTCATATAAAATCAAAACAGAAGCATTCTCAGAAACTTCTCTGTGATGTTTGCATTCAACTCATAGAGTTGAACACTTCCTTTCATAGAGCACGTTTGAAACACTCTTTGTGATATTCGGAAGTGGACTTTAGCACCGCTTTGAGGCCGATGGTGAAAAAGGTAATATCTTCTCCTAAAAACCAGACAGAAGCATTTTCAGAAACTTCCTTGTGATGAGTGTACTCAAATAACAGAGTTGAACCTTCCTTTTACAGAGCCGTTTTGAAACACTCTTTTTGTAGAATCTGCAAGTAGATATTTGGATACCTTTGAGGATTTCTTTGGAAACGGGATATCTTCATATAAAATCTAGACAGAAGCATTCTCAGAAACTTCTTCTTGCTGTGTGTCCTCCATTAACAGAGTTGAACCTTTGTGTGGATACAGCATTTTGGAAACATTCCTTTAGTAGAATCTGCAAGTTGATATTTAGATAGCTAGGAAGATATCCTTGGAAACGGGAATATCTTCATATAAAATCTAGACGGAAGCATTCTCAGAAACTGCTTTGTGATGTCTTCATTCAAGTCACAGAGTAGAATGTTCCCTTTTATAGAGCAGGTTTGAAACACTCTGAGCACTACGTGGAAGTGGACATTGGGAGCGCTTTGAGGCCTATGTTGAAAAAGGAAATATCTTCCCATAAAAACTAGACAGAAGCATTCTCAGAAACTTGTTTGTGATGTGTGTATTCAACTAACAGAGATGAACCTTTCTTTTTACAGAGCAGTTTTGAAACACTCTTTTTGTGGAATCTGAAAGTGGATATTTGGATAGCTTTGAGGGTTTCGTTGGAAACGGGATTACATATAAAATCTAGGGAGAAGCATTCTCAGGAACTTCTTTGTGATATTTGCATTCAAGTCACAGAACTGAACATTCCCTTTCATAGAGCAGCTTTGAAACACTCTTTCTGTAGTATCTGCAAGCGGACGTTTCAAGCGCTTTCAGGCCTGTGGTGAAAAAGGAAATATCTTCAAATAAAAACTAGACAGAAGCATTCTCAGAAACTTATTTGCGATGTGTGTTCTCAACTAACAGAGTTGAACCTTTGTTTTGATACAGCATTTTGGAAACACTCTTTTTGTAGGATCTGCAGGTGGATATTTGGATAGCTTTGATGGTTTCGTTGGAAACGGGAATATCCTCATATAAAATCAAGACAGAAGCATTCTCAGAAACTTCTCTGTGATGTTTGCCTTCAACTCATAGAGTTGAACACTTCCTTTCATAGAGCAGGTTTGAAACACTCTGTGCACTACCTGGAAGTGGACATTTGGAGCGCTTTGAGGCCTATGTTGAAAAAGGAAATATCTTCCCATAAAAACTAGACAGAAGCATTCTCAGAAACTTGTTTGTGATGTGTGTATTCAACTAACAGAGATGAACCTTTCTTTTTACAGAGCAGTTTTGAAACACTCTTTTTGTGGAATCTGAAAGTGGATATTTGGATAGCTTTGAGGATTTCGTTGGAAACGGGATTACATATAAAATCTAGAGAGAAGCATTCTCAGGAACTTCTTTGTGATGTTTGCATTCACGTCGCAGAACTGAACATTCCCTTTCATAGAGCATGTTTGAAACACTCTTTCTGTAGTATCTGCAAACGGACATTTCAAACGCTTTCAGGCCTATGGTGAGAAAGGAAATATCTTCAAATAAAAACTAGACAGAAGCATTCTCAGAAACTTATTTGCGATGTGTGTCCTCAACTAACAGAGTTGAACCTTTCTTTTGATACAACATTTTGGAAACACTCTTTTTGTAGAATCTGCAAGTGGATATTAGGATAGCTTTGAAGGTTTCGTAGGAAACGGGAATATCTTCATATAAAATCAAGACAGAAGCATTCTCAGAAACTTCTCTGTGATGTTTACATTCAACTCATAGAGTTGAATACTTCCCTTCATACAGCAGGTTTGAAACACTCTTTTTGTAATATTTGGAAGTGGACATTTGCAGCGCTTTGAGGCCTATGATGAAAAAGGAAATATCTTCCCATAAAAACTAGACAGAAGCATTCTCAGAAACTTGTTTGTGATGTGTGTATTCAACTAACAGAGATGAACCTTTCTTTTTACAGAGCAGTTTTGAAACACTCTTTTTGTGGAATCTGAAAGTGGATATTTGGATAGCTTTGAGGATTTCGTTGGAAACGGGATTACATATAAAATCTAGGGAGAAGCATTCCCAGGAACTTCTTTGTGATGTTTGCATTCAAGTCACAGAACTGAACATTCCCTTTCATAGAGCAGGTTTGAAACACTCTTTCTGTAGTATCTGCAAGCGGACTTTTCAAGCGCTTTCAGGCCTGTGGTGAAAAAGGAAATATCTTCAAATAAAAACTAGACAGAAGCATTCTCAGAAACTTATTTGCGATGTGTGTTCTCAACTAACAGAGTTGAACCTTTGTTTTGATACAGCATTTTGGAAACACTCTTTTTGTAGGATCTGCAGGTGGATATTTGGATAGCTTTGATGGTTTCGTTGGAAACGGGAATATCCTCATATAAAATCAAGACAGAAGCATTCTCAGAAATTTCTCTGTGATGTTTGCCTTCAACTCATAGAGTTGAACACTTCCTTTCATAGAGCAGGTTTGAAACACTCTGTGCACTACCTGGAAGTGGACGTTTGGAGCGCTTTGAGGCCTATGTTGAAAAAGGAAATATCTTCCCATAAAAACTAGACAGAAGCATTCTCAGAAACTTGTTTGTGATGTGTGTATTCAACTAACAGAGATGAACCTTTCTTTTTACAGAGCAGTTTTGAAACACTCTTTTTGTGGAATCTGAAAGTGGATATTTGGATAGCTTTGAGGATTTCGTTGGAAACGGGATTACATATAAAATCTAGGGATAAGCATTCTCAGGAACTCCTCTGTGATGTTTGCATTCAAGTCACAGAACTGAACATTCCCTTTCATAGAGCAGGTTTGAAACACTCTTTCTGTAGTATCTGCAAGCGGACGTTTCTAGCGCTTTCAGGCCTGTGGTGAAAGAGGAAATATCTTCAAATAAAAACTAGACAGAAGCATTCTCAGAAACTTATTTGCGATGTGTGTTCTCAACTAACAGAGTTGAACCTTTGTTTTGATACAGCATTTTGGAAACACTCTTTTTGTAGGATCTGCAGGTGGATATTTGGATAGCTTTGAAGGTTTCGTTGGAAACGGGAATATCTTCATATAAAATCAACACAGAAGCATTCTCAGAAACTTCTCTGTGATGTTTGCATTCAACTCACAGAGTTGAACACTTCCTTTCATAGAGCTGGTTTGAAATACTCTTTTTGTAATATTTGGAAGTGGACATGGGCAGCGCTTTGAAGCCTATGGTGAAAAAGGAGATATCTTCTCCTAAAAACCAGACAGAAGCATTCTCAGAATCTTTCTTGTGATGTGTGTACTCAAGTAACAGAGTTGAACCTTCATTTTGACAGAGCAGTTTTGAAGCACTCTTTTTGTAGAAACTGAAAGGGGATATTTTGATACATTTGAGGATTTCGTTGGACACGGGATATCTTCATATAAAATCTAGACAGAAGCATTCTCAGAAACTTCTTTGTGCTGTATGTCCTCAATTAACAGAGTTGAAGCTTTGTGTGGATACAGCATTTTGGAAACATTCCTTTAGTAGAATCTGCAAGTTGATATTTAGATAGCTAGGAAGATTTCCTTGGAAACGGGAATATCTTCATATAAAATCTAGACGGAAGCATTCTCAGAAACTGCTTTGTGATGTTTTCATTCAAGTCACAGAGTAGAATGTTCCCTGTTATATACCAGGTTTGAGACACTCTTTCTGCACTACCTGGAAGTGGACATTTGGAGCGCTTTGAGGCCTATGATGAAAAAGGAAATATCTTCCCATAAAAACTAGACAGAAGCATTCTCAGAAACTTGTTTGTGATGTGTGTATTCAACTAACAGAGATGAACCTTTCTTTTTACAGAGCAGTTTTGAAACACTCTTTTTGTGGAATCTGAAAGTGGATATTTGGATAGCTTTGAGGATTTCGTTGGAAACGGGATTACATATAAAATCTAGAGAGAAGCATTCTCAGGAACTTCTTTGTGATGTTTGCATTCACGTCACAGAACTGAACATTCCCTTTCATAGAGCATGTTTGAAACACTCTTTCTGTAGTATCTGCAAACGGACATTTCAAACGCTTTCAGGCCTATGGTGAGAAAGGAAATATCTTCAAATAAAAACTAGACAGAAGCATTCTCAGAAACTTATTTGCGATGTGTGTCCTCAACTAACAGAGTTGAACCTTTCTTTTGATACAACATTTTGGAAACACTCTTTTTGTAGAATCTGCAAGTGGATATTTGGATAGCTTTGAAGGTTTCGTTGGAAACGGGAATATCTTCATATAAAATCAAGACAGAAGCATTCTCAGAAACTTCTCTGTGATGTTTGCATTCAACTCATAGAGTTGAACACTTCCCTTCATACAGCAGGTTTGAAACACTCTTTTTGTAATATTTGGAAGTGGACATTTGCAGCGCTTTGAGGCCTATGTTGAAAAAGGAAATATCTTCTCCTAAAAACCAGACAGAAGCATTCTCAGAAACTTCCTTGTGATGTGTGTACTCAAGTAACAGAGTTGAACCTTACTTTTGACAGAGCCGTTTTGAAACAGTCTTTTTGTAGAATCTGGAAGTAGATATTTGGATACCTTTGAGGATTTCTTTGGAAACGGGATATCTTCATATAACATCTAGACAGAAGCATTCTCAGAAACTTCTTTGTGCTGTATGTCCTCAATTAACAGAGTTGAACCTTTGTGTGGATACAGCATTTTGGAAACACTCCTTTAGTAGAATCTGCAAGTTGATATTTAGATAGCTAGGAAGATTTCCTTGGAAACGGGAATATCTTCACATAAAATCTAGACGGAAGCATTCTCAGAAACTGCTTTGTGATGTCTTCATTCAAGTCACAGAGCAGAATGTTCCCTTTTATAGAGCAGGTTTGAAACACTCAGTGCACTACCTGGAAGTGGACATTTGGAGCGCTTTGAGGCCTATGTTGAAAAAGGAAATATCTTCCCATAGAAACTAGACAGAAGCATTCTCAGAAACTTGTTTGTGATGTGTGTATTCAACTGAGATGAACCTTTCTTTTTACAGAGCAGTTTTGAAACACTCTTTTTGTGGAATCTGAAAGTGGATATTTGGATAGCTTTGAGGATTTCGTTGGAAACGGGATTACATATAAAATCTAGGGAGAAGCATTCTCAGGAACTTCTTTGTGATGTTTGCATTCAAGTCACAGAACTGAACATTCCCTTTCATAGAGCAGGTGTGAAACACTCTTTCTGTGGTATCTGCAAGCTGACGTTTCAAGCGCTTTCAGGCCTATGGTGAGAAAGGAAATATCTTCAAGTAAAAACTAGACAGAAACATTCTCAGAAACTTATTTGCCATGTGTGTTCTCAACTAACAGAGTTGAACCTTTGTTTTGATACGGCATTTTGGAAACACTCTTTTTGTAGAATCTGCAGGTGGATATTCGAATAGCTTTGAAGGTTTCGTTGGAAACGGGAATATCTTCATATAAAATCTAGACGGAAGCATTCTCAGAAACTGCTTTGTAATGTTTTCATTCAAGTCACAGAGTAGAATGTTCCCTTTTATATACCAGGTTTGAGACACTCTTTCTGCACTACCTGGAAGTGGACATTTGGAGCGCTTTGAGGCCTATGTTGAAAAAGGAAATATCTTCCCATAAAAACTAGACAGAAGCATTCTCAGAAACTTGTTTGTGATGTGTGTATTCAACTAACAGAGATGAACCTTTCTTTTTACAGAGCAGTTTTGAAACACTCTTTTTGTGGAATCTGAAAGTGGATATGTGGACAGCTTTGACGATTTCGTTGGAAACGGGATTACATATAAAATCTAGAGAGAAGCATTCTCAGGAATTTCTTTGTGATGTTTGCATTCAAGTCACAGAACTGAACATTCCCTTTCATAGAGCAGGTTTGAAACACTCTTTCTGTAGTATCTGCAAGCGGACATTTCAAGCGCTTTCAGGCCTATGGTGAGAAAGGAATTATCTTCAAATAAAAACTAGACAGAAGCATTCTCAGAAACTTATTTGCGATGTGTGTCCTCAACTAACAGAGTTGAACCTTTGTTTTGATACAACATTTTGCAAACACTCTTTTGGGAGAATCTGCAGGTGAATACTTGGATAGCTTTGAAGGTTTCTTTAGAAACGGGAATATCTTCATATAAAATCAAATCAGAAGCATTCTCAGAAACTTCTCTGTGATGTTTGCATTCAACTCATAGAGTTGAACACTTCCTTTCATAGAGCACGTTTGAAACACTCTTTGTGATATTCGGAAGTGGACTTTAGCACCGCTTTGAGGCCGATGGTGAAAAAGGTAATATCTTCTCCTAAAAACCAGACAGAAGCATTTTCAGAAACTTCCTTGTGATGAGTGTACTCAAATAACAGAGTTGAACCTTCCTTTTACAGAGCCGTTTTGAAACACTCTTTTTGTAGAATCTGCAAGTAGATATTTGGATACCTTTGAGGATTTCTTTGGAAACGGGATATCTTCATATAAAATCTAGACAGAAGCATTCTCAGAAACTTCTTCTTGCTGTGTGTCCTCCATTAACAGAGTTGAACCTTTGTGTGGATACAGCATTTTGGAAACATTCCTTTAGTAGAATCTGCAAGTTGATATTTAGATAGCTAGGAAGATATCCTTGGAAACGGGAATATCTTCATATAAAATCTAGACGGAAGCATTCTCAGAAACTGCTTTGTGATGTCTTCATTCAAGTCACAGAGTAGAATGTTCCCTTTTATAGAGCAGGTTTGAAACACTCTGTGCACTACGTGGAAGTGGACATTGGGAGCGCTTTGAGGCCTATGTTGAAAAAGGAAATATCTTCCCATGAAAACTAGACAGAAGCATTCTCAGAAACTTCTATGTGATGTTTGCCTTCAACTCATAGAGTTGAACACTTCCTTTCATAGAGCTGGTTTGAAATACTCTTTTTGTAATATTTGGAAGTGGACATTGGCAGCGCTTTGAAGCCTATGGTGAAAAAGGAGATATCTTCCCCTAAAAACCAGACAGAAGCATTCTCAGAATCTTTCTTGTGATGTGTGTACTCAAGTAACAGAGTTGAACCTTCATTTTGACAGAGCAGTTTTGAAGCACTCTTTTTGTAGAATCTGCAAGGGGATATTTTGATACCTTTGGGGATTTCGTTAGACATGGGATATCTTCATATAAAATCTAGACAGAAGCATTCTCAGAAACTTATTTGTGCTGTATGTCCTCAATTAACAGAGTTGAACCTTTGTGTGGATACAGCATTTTGGAAACATTCCTTTAGTAGAATCTGCAAGTTGATATTTAGATAGCTAGGAAGATTTCCTTGGAAACGGGAATATCTTCATATAAAATCTAGACGGAAGCATTCTCAGAAAGTGCTTTGTGATGTTTGCATTCAAGTCACAGCGTTGAATATTCCCTTTTACAGAGCAGGTTTGAAACACTCTTTCTGCACTACCTGGAAGTGGACATTTGGAGCGCTTTGAGGCCTATGTTGAAAAAGGAAATATCTTCCCATAAAAACTAGACAGAAGCATTCTCAGAAACTTGTTTGTGATGTGTGTATTCAACTAACAGAGATGAACCTTTCTTTTTACAGAGCAGTTTTGAAACACTCTTTTTGTGGAATCTGAAAGTGGATATTTGGATAGCTTTGAGGATTTCGTTGGAAACGGGATTACATATAAAATCTAGAGAGAAACATTCTCAGGAACTTTTTTGTGATGTTTGCATTCACGTCACAGAACTGAACATTCCCTTTCATAGAGCCGGTTTGAAACACTGTTTCTGTAGTATCTGCAAACGGACATTCCAAGCGCTTTCAGGCCTATGGTGAGAAAGGAAATATCTTCAAATAAAAACTAGACAGAAGCATTCTCAGAAACTTATTTGCGATGTGTGTCCTCAACTAACAGAGTTGAACCTTTGTTTTGATACAACATTTTGGAACCACTCTTTTTGTAGAATCAGCAAGTGGATATTTGGATAGCTTTGAAGGTTTCGTTGGAAACGGGAATATCTTCATATAAAATCAAGACAGAAGCATTCTCAGAAACTTCTCTGTGATGTTTGCATTCAACTCATAGAGGTGAACACTTCCCTTCATAGAGCAGGTTTGAAACACTCTTTCTGAAATATTTGGAAGTGGACATTTGCAGCGCTTTGAGGCCTATGTTGAAAAAGGAAATATCTTCTCCTAAAAACCAGACAGAAGCATTCTCAGAAACTTCCTTGTGATGTGTGTACTCAAGTAACAGAGTTGAACCTTACTTTTGAGAGAGCCGTTTTGAAACAGTCTTTTTGTAGAATCTGGGAGTAGATATTTGGATACCTTTGAGGATTTCTTTGGAAACGGGATATCTTTATATAAAATCTAGACAGAAGCATTCTCAGACACTTCTTTGTGCTGTATGTCCTCAATTAACAGAGTTGAACCTTTGTGTGGATACAGCATTTTGGAAACATTCCTTTAGTAGAATCTGCAAGTTGATATTTAGATAGCTAGGAAGAATTCCTTGGAAACGGGAATATCTTCATATAAAATCTATACGGAAGCATTCTCAGAAAGTGCTTTGTGATGTTTGCATTCAAGTCACAGAGTTGAATATTCCCTTTTATAGAGCAGGTTTGAAACACTCTTTCTGCACTACCTGGAAGTGGACATTTGGAGCGCTTTGAGGCCTATGTTGAAAAAGGAAATATCTTCCCATAAAAACTAGACAGAAGCATTCTCAGAAACTTCTTTGTGATGTGTGTATTCAACTAACAGAGATGAACCTTTCTTTTTACAGAGCAGTTTTGAAACACTCTTTTTGTGGAATCTGAAAGTGGATACTTGGATAGCTTTGAGGATTTCGTTGGAAACGGGATTACATATAAAACCTAGAGAGAAGCATTCTCAGGAACTTCTTTGTGATGTTTGCATTCAAGTCACAGAACTGAACATTCCCTTTCATGGAGCATGTTTGAAACACTCTTTCTGTAGTATCTGCAAGCTGACGTTTCAAGCGCTTTCAGGCCTATGGTGAGAAAGGAAATATCTTCAAGTAAAAACCAGACAGAAGCATTCTCAGAAACATATTTGCCATGTGTGTTCTCAACTAACAGAGTTGAAACTTTGTTTTGATACGGCATTTTGGAAACACTCTTTTTTTAGAATCTGCAGGTGGATATTCGGATAGCTTTGAAGGTTTCGTTGGAAACGGGAATATCTTCATATAAAATCTAGACGGAAGCATTCTCAGAAACTGCTTTGTGATGTTTTCATTCAAGTCACGGAGTAGAATGTTCCCTTTTCTCTACCAGGTTTGAGACACTCTTTCTGCACTACCTGGAAGTGGACTTTTGGAGTGCTTTGAGGCCTATGATGAAAAAGGAAATATATTCCCATAACAACTAGACAGAAGCATTCTCAGAAACTTGTTTGTGATGTGTGTATTCAACTAACAGAGATGAATCTTTCTTTTTACAGAGCAGTTTCGAAACACTCTTTTTGTGGAATCTGAAAG
Source organism: Homo sapiens (assembly GCF_000001405.40). Classification (NCBI taxonomy): domain Eukaryota; kingdom Metazoa; phylum Chordata; class Mammalia; order Primates; family Hominidae; genus Homo; species Homo sapiens. Next base: position 159,867 of record NT_187502.1, read on the forward strand.
TGGATATTTGGATAGCTTTGAGGATTTCGTTGGAAACGAGATTACATATAAAATCTAGAGAGAAGCATTCTCAGGAACTTCTTTGTGATGTTTGCATTCACGTCACAGAACTGAACATTCCCTTTCATAGAGCATGTTTGAAACACTCTTTCTGTAGTATCTGCAAACGGACGTTTCAAGCGCTTTCAGGCCTGTGGTGAGAAAGGAAATATCTTCAAATAAAAACTAGACAGAAGCATTCTCAGAAACTTATTTGCGATGTGTGTCCTCAACTAACAGAGTTGAACCTTTGTTTTGATACAACATTTTGGAACCACTCTTTTTGTAGAATCTGCAAGTGGATATTTGGATAGCTTTGAAGGTTTCGTTGGAAACGGGAATATCTTCATATGAAATCAAGACAGAAGCATGCTCAGAAACTTCTCTGTGATGTTTGCATTCAACTCATAGAGGTGAACACTTCCCTTCATAGAGCAGGTTAGAAACACTCTTTTTGTAATATTTGGAAGTGGACATTTGCAGCGCTTTGAGGCCTATGTTGAAAAAGGAAATATCTTCTCCTAAAAACCAGACAGAAGCATTCTCAGAAACTTCCTTCTGATGTGTGTACTCAAGTAACAGAGTTGAACCTTCCTTTTGCCAGAGCAGTTTTGAAGCACTCTTTTTGTAGAATCTGCAAGTGGATATTTTGATACCTTTGAGGATTTCGTTGGACATGGGATATCTTCATATAAAATCTAGACAGAAGCATTCGCAGACACTTCTTTGTGCTGTATATCCTCAATTAACAGAGTTGAACCTTTGTTTCGATACGGCATTTTGGAAACATTCCTTTAGTAGAATCTGCAAGTTCATATTTAGATAGCTAGGAAGATTTCCTTGCAAACGGGAATATCTTCATATAAAATCTAGACGGAAGCATTCTCAGAAAGTGCTTTGTGATGTTTGCATTCAAGTCACAGAGTTGAATATTCCCTTTTATAGAGCAGGTTTGAAACACTCTTTCTGCACTACCTGGAAGTGGACATTTGGAGCGCTTTGAGGCCTATGTTGAAAAAGGAAATATCTTCCCATAAAAACTAGACAGAAGCATTCTCAGAAGCTTGTTTGTGATGTGTGTATTCAACTAACAGAGATGAACCTTTCTTTTTACAGAGCAATTTTGAAACACTCTTTTTGTGGAATCTGAAAGTGGATATTTGGACAGCTTTGAGGGTTTCGTTGGAAACGGGATTACATATAAAATCTAGGGAGAAGCATTCTCAGGAACTTCTTTGTGATATTTGCATTCAAGTCACAGAACTGAACATTCCCTTTCATAGAGCAGCTTTGAAACACTCTTTCTGTAGTATCTGCAAGCGGACGTTTCAAGCGCTTTCAGGCCTGTGGTGAAAACGGAAATATCTTCAAATAAAAACTAGACAGAAGCATTCTCAGAAACTTATTTGCGATTTGTGTTCTCAACTAACAGAGTTGAACCTTTGTTTTGATACAGCATTTTGGAAACACTCTTTTTGTAGGATCTGCAGGTGGATATTTGGATAGCTTTTAAGGTTTCGTTGGAAACGGGAATATCTTCATATAAAATCAAGACAAAAGCATTCTCAGAAACTTCTCTGTGATGTTTGCATTCAACTCATAGAGTTGAAGTCTTCCTTTCATAGAGCAGGTTTGAAACACTCTGTGCACTACCTGGAAGTGGACATTTGGAGCGCTTTGAGGCCTATGTTGAAAAAGGAAATATCTTCCCATAAAAACTAGACAGAAGCATTCTCAGAAACTTGTTTGTGACGTGTGTATTCAACTAACACAGATGAACCTTTCTTTTTACAGAGCAGTTTTGAAACACTCTTTTTGTGGAATCTGAAAGTGGATATTTGGATAGCTATGAGGATTTCGTTGGAAACGGGATTACATATAAAATCTAGGGAGAAGCATTCTCAGGAACTTCTTTGTGATGTTTGCATTCAACTCATAGTGTTGAACACTTCCTTTCATAGAGCTGGTTTGAAATACTCTTTTTGTAATATTTGGAAGTGGACATTTGCAGCGCTTTGAAGCTTATGCTGAAAAAGGAGATATCTTCTCCTAAAAACCAGACAGAAGCATTCTCAGAATCTTTCTTGTGATGTGTGTACTCAAGTAACAGAGTTGAACCTTCCTTTTGACAGAGGAGTTTTGAAGCACTCTTTTTGTAGAATCTGCAAGTGGATATTTTGATACCTTTGAAGATTTCGTTGGACATGGGATATCTTCATATAAAATCTAGACAGAAGCATTCTCAGACACTTCTTTGTGCTGTATGTCCTCAATTAACAGAGTTGAACCTTTGTTTCGATACAGCATTTTGGAAACATTCCTTTAGTAGAATCTGCAAGTTGATATTTAGATAGCTAGGAAGATTTCCTTGCAAACGGGAATATCTTCATATAAAATCTAGACGGAAGCATTCTCAGAAAGTGCTTTGTGATGTTTGCATTCAAGTCACAGAGTTGAATATTCCCTTTTACAGAGCAGGTTTGAAACACTCTTTCTGCACTACCTGGAAGTGGACATTTGGAGCGCTTTGAGGCCTATGTTGAAAAAGGAAATATCTTCCCATAAAAACTAGACAGAAGAATTCTCAGAAACTTGTTTGTGATGTTTGTATTCAACTAACAGAGATGAACCTTTCTTTTTACAGAGCAGTTTTGAAACACTCTTTTTGTGGAATCTGAAAGTGGATATTTGGATAGCTTTGAGGATTTCGTTGGAAACGGGATTACATATAAAATCTAGAGAGAAGCATTCTCAGGAACTTCTTTGTGATGTTTGCATTCAAGTCACAGAACTGAACATTCCCTTTCATAGAGCATGTTTGAAACACTCTTTCTGTAGTATCTGCAAGCTGACGTTTCAAGCGCTTTCAGGCCTATGGTGAGAAAGGAAATATCTTCAAGTAAAAACTAGACAGAAACTTTCTCAGAAACTTATTTCCATGTGTTTTCTCAAATAACAGAGTTGAAACATTGTTTTGATACGGCATTTTGGAAACACTCTTTTTGTAGAATCTGCAGGTGGATATTCGGATAGCTTTGAAGGTTTCGTTGGAAACGGGCATAACTTCATATAAAATCTAGACGGAAGCATTCTCAGAAACTGCTTTGTGATGTTTTCATTCAAGTCACAGAGTAGAATGTTCCCTTTTATATACCAGGTTTGAGACACTCTTTCTGCACTACCTGGAAGTGGACATTTGGAGCGCTTTAGGCCTATGATGAAAAAGGAAATATCTTCCCATAAAAACTAGACAGAAGCATTCTCAGAAACTTGTTTGTGATGTGTGTATTCAACTAACAGAGATGAACCTTTCTTTTTAAAGAGCAGTTTTGAAACACTCTTTTTGTGGAATCTGAAAGTGGATATTTGGATAGATTTGAGGATTTTGTTGGAAACGGGATTACATATAAAATCTAGAGAGAAACATTCTCAGGAACTTTTTTGTGATGTTTGCATTCACGTCACAGAACTGAACATTCCCTTTCATAGAGCCGGTTTGAAACACTGTTTCTGTAGTATCTGCAAACGGACATTCCAAGCGCTTTCAGGCCTATGGTGAGAAAGGAAATATCTTCAAATAAAAACTAGACAGAAGCATTCTCAGAAACTTATTTGCGATGTGTGTCCTCAACTAACAGAGTTGAACCTTTGTTTTGATACAACATTTTGGAACCACTCTTTTTGTAGAATCAGCAAGTGGATATTTGGATAGCTTTGAAGGTTTCGTTGGAAACGGGAATATCTTCATATAAAATCAAGACAGAAGCATTCTCAGAAACTTCTCTGTGATGTTTGCATTCAACTCATAGAGGTGAATACTTCCCTTCATACAGCAGGTTTGAAACACTCTTTTTGAAATATTTGGAAGTGGACATTTGCAGCGCTTTGAGGCCTATGTTGAAAAAGGAAATATCTTCTCCTAAAAACCAGACAGAAGCATTCTCAGAAACTTCCCTGTGATGTGTGTATTCAAGTAACAGAGTTGAACCTTACTTTTGAGAGAGCCGTTTTGAAACAGTCTTTTTGTAGAATCTGGAAGTAGATATTTGGATACCTTTGAGGATTTCTTTGGAAACGGGATATCTTTATATAAAATCTAGACAGAAGCATTCTCAGACACTTCTTTGTGCTGTATGTCCTCAATTAACAGAGTTGAACCTTTGTGTGGATACAGCATTTTGGAAACATTCCTTTAGTAGAATCTGCAAGTTGATATTTAGATAGCTAGGAAGATTTCCTTGGAAACGGGAATATCTTCATATAAAATCTAGACGGAAGCATTCTCAGAAAGTGCTTTGTGATGTTTGCATTCAAGTCACAGAGTTGAATATTCCCTTTTATAGAGCAGGTTTGAAACACTCTTTCTGCACTACCTGGAAGTGGACATTTGGAGCGCTTTGAGGCCTATGTTGAAAAAGGAAATATCTTCCCATAAAAACTAGACAGAAGCATTCTCAGAAACTTATTTGCCATGTGTGTTCTCAACTAACAGAGTTGAACCTTTGTTTTGATACGGCATTTTGGAAACACTCTTTTTGTAGAATCTGCAGGTGGATATTCGGATAGCTTTGAAGGTTTCGTTGGAAACGGGAATATCTTCATATAAAATCTAGACGGAAGCATTCTCAGAAACTGCTTTGTGATGTTTTCATTGAAGTCACAGAGTAGAATGTTCCCTTTTATATACCAGGTTTGAGACACTCTTTCTGCACTACCTGGAAGTGGACATTTGTAGCGCTTTGAGGCCTATGATGAAAAAGGAAATATCTTCCCATAAAAACTAGACAGAAGCATTCTCAGAAACTTGTTTGTGATGTGTGTATTCAACTAACAGAGATGAACCTTTCTTTTTACAGAGCAGTTTTGAAACACTCTTTTTGTGGAATCTGAAAGTGGATATTTGGATAGCTTTGAGGATTTCGTTGGAAACGGGATTACATATAAAATCTAGAGAGAAGCATTCTCAGGAACTTCTTTGTGATGTTTTCATTCACGTCACAGAACTGAACATTCCCTTTCATAGAGCATGTTTGAAACACTCTTTCTGTAGTATCTGCAAACGGACATTTCAAGCGCTTTCAGGCCTATGGTGAGAAAGGAAATATCTTCAAATAAAAACTAGACAGAAGCATTCTCAGAAACTTATTTGCGATGTGTGTCCTCAACTAACAGAGTTGAACCTTTGTTTTGATACAACATTTTGGAAACACTCTTTTTGTAGAATCTGCAAGTGGATATTTGGATAGCTTTGAAGATTTCGTTGGAAACGGGAATATCTTCATATAAAATCAAGACAGAAGCATTCTCAGAAACTTCTCTGTGATGTTTGCATTCAACTCATAGAGTTGAACACTTCCTTTCATACAGCAGGTTTTAAACACTCTTTTTGTAATATTTGGAAGTGGACATTTGCAGCGCTTTGAGGCCTATGTTGAAAAAGGAAATATCTTCTCCTAAAAACCAGACAGAAGCATTCTCAGAAACTTCCTTGTGATGTGTGTACTCAAGTAACAGAGTTGAACCTTACTTTTGACAGAGCCGTTTTGAAACAGTCTTTTTGTAGAATCTGGAAGTAGATATTTGGATACCTTTGAGGATTTCTTTGGAAACGGGATATCTTCATATAAAATCTAGACAGAAGCATTCTCAGAAACTTCTTTGTGCTGTAGGTCCTCAATTAACAGAGTTGAACCTTTGTGTGGATACAGCATTTTGGAAACATTCCTTTAGTAGAATCTGCAAGTTGATATTTAGATAGCTAGGAAGATTTCCTTGGAAACGGGAATATCTTCATATAAAATCTTGACGGAAGCATTCTCAGAAACTGCTTTGTGATGTCTTCATTCAAGTCACAGAGTAGAATGTTCCCTTTTATAGAGCAGGTTTGAAACACTCTGTGCACTACCTGGAAGTGGACATTGGGTGCACTTTGAGGCCTATGTTGAAAAAGGAAATATCTTCCCATCAAAACTAGACAGAAGCATTCTCAGAAACTTGTTTGTGATGTGTGTATTCAACTAACAGAGATGAACCTTTCTTTTTACAGAGCAGTTTTGAAACACTCTTTTTGTGGAATCTGAAAGTGGATATTTGGATGGCTTTGAGGATTTCGTTGGAAACGGGATTACATATAAAACCTAGAGAGAAGCATTCTGAGGAACTTCTTTGTGATGTTTGCATTCAAGTCACAGAACTGAACATTCCCTTTCATAGAGCAGGTTTGAAACACTCTTTCTGCACTACCTGGAGGTGGACATTTGGAGCGCTTTGAGTCCTATGTTGAAAAAGGAAATATCTTCCCATAAAAACTGGACAGAACCATTCTCAGAAACTTATTTGCGATGTGTGTCCTCAACTAACAGAGTTGAACCTTTGTTTTGATACAGCATTTTGGAAACACTCTTTTTGTAGGATCTGCAGGTGGATATTTGGATAGCTTTTAAGGTTTCGTTGGAAACGGGAATATCTTCATATAAAATCAAGACAGAAGCATTCTCAGAAACTTCTCTGTGATGTTTGCATTCAACTCATAGAGTTGAACACTTCCTTTCATAGAGCAGGTTTGAAACACTCTGTGCACTACCTGGAAGTGGACATTTGGAGCGCTTTGAGGCCTATGTTGAAAAAGGAAATATCTTCCCATAAAAACTAGACAGAAGCATTCTGAGAAACTTGTTTGTGATGTGTGTATTCAACTAACAGAGATGAACCTTTCTTTTTACAGAGCCGTTTTGAAACACTCTTTTTGTAGAATCTGCAAGTAGATATTTGGATACCTTTGAGGATTTCTTTGGAAACGGGATATCTTCATATAAAATCTAGACAGAAGCATTCTCAGAAACTTCTTTGTGCTGTATGTCTTCAATTAACAGAGTTGAACCTTTGTTTGGATACAGCATTTTGGAAACTTTCCTTTAGTAGAATCTGCAAGTTGATATTTAGATAGCTAGGAAGATTTCCTTGGAAACGGGAATATCTTCACATAAAATCTAGACGGAAGCATTCTCAGAAAGTGCTTTGTGATGTTTGCATTCAAGTCACAGAGTTGAATATTCCCTTTTATACAGCAGGTTTGAAACACTCTTTCTGCACTACCTGGAGGTGGACATTTAGAGCGCTTTGAGGCCTATGTTGAAAAAGGAAATATCTTCCCATAAAAACTAGACAGAAGCATTCTCAGAAACTTGTTTGTGATGTGTGTATTCAACTAACAGAGATGAACCTTTCTTTTTACAGAGCAGTTTTGAAACACTCTTTTTGTGGAATCTGAAAGTGGATATTTGGATAGCTTTGAGGATTTCGTTGGAAACGGGATTACATATAAAATCTAGAGAGAAGCATTCTCAGGAACTTCTTTGTGATGTTTGCATTCAAGTAACAGAACTGAACATTCCCTTTCATAGAGCCGGTTTGAAACACTCTTTCTGTAGTATCTGCAAGCTGACGTTTCAAGCGCTTTCAGGCCTATGGTGAGAAAGGAAATATCTTCAAGTAAAAACTAGACAGAAGCATTCTCAGAAACTTATTTGCCATGTGTGTTCTCAACTAACAGAGTTGAACCTTTGTTTTGATACAGCATTTTGGAAACACTCTTTTTGTAGGATCTACAGGTGGATATTTGGATAGCTTTTAAGGTTTCGTTGGAAACGGGAATATCTTCATATAAAAAAAAGACAGAAGCATTCTCAGAAACTTCTCTGTGATGTTTGCATTCAACTCATAGAGTTGAAGACTTCCTTTCATAGAGCCGGTTTGAAACACTCTGTGCACTACCTGGAAGTGGACATTTCGAGCGCTTTGAGGCCTATGTTGAAAAAGGAAATATCTTCCCATAAAAACTAGACAGAAGCATTCTCAGAAACTTGTTTGTGATGTGTGTATTCAACTAACAGATATGAACCTTTCTTTTTACAGAGCAGTTTTGAAACACTCTTTTTGTGGAATCTGAAAGTGGATATTTGGATAGCTTTGAGGATTTCGTTGGAAACGGGATTACATATAAAATCTAGGGAGAAGCATTCTCAGGAACTTCTTTGTGATGTTTGCATTCAAGTCACAGAACTGAACATTCCCTTTCATAGAGCAGGTTTGAAACACTGTTTCTGTAGTATCTGCAAACGGACATTCCAAGCGCTTTCAGGCCAATGGTGAGAAAGGAAATATCTTCAAATAAAAACCAGACAGAAGCATTCTCAGAAACTTATTTGTGATGTGTGTCCTCAACTAACAGAGTTGAACCTTTCTATTGATACAACATTTTGGAAACACTCTTTTTGTAGAATCTGCAGGTGGATATTCGGATAGCTTTGAAGGTTTCGTTGGAAACGGGAATATCTTCATATAAAATCAAGACAGAAGCATTCTCAGAAACTTCTCTGTGATGTTTGCATTCAACTCATAGAGGTGAACACTTCCCTTCATAGAGCAGGTTTGAAACACTCTTTTTGTAATATTTGGAAGTGGACATTTGCAGCGCTTTGAGGCCTATGTTGAAAAAGGAAATATCTTCTCCTAAAAACCAGACAGAAGCATTCTCAGAAACTTCCTTGTAATGTGTGTACTCAAGTAACAGAGTTGAACCTTCCTTTTGACAGAGCCGTTTTGAAACACTCTTTTTGTAGAATCTGCAAGTAGATATTTGGATACCTTTGAGGATTTCTTTGGAAACGGGCTATCTTCATATTAAATCTAGACAGAAGAATTCTCAGAAACTTCTTTGTGCTGTATGTCTTCAATTAACAGAGTTGAACCTTTGTTTGGATACAGCATTTTGGAAACGTTCCTTTAGTAGAATCTGCAAGTTGATATTTAGATAGCTAGGAAGATTTCCTTGGAAACGGGAATATCTTCACATAAAATCTAGACGGAAGCATTCTCAGAAAGTGCTTTGTGATGTTTGCATTCAAGTCACAGAGTTGAATATTCCCTTTTATAGAGCAGGTTTGAAACACTCTTTCTGCACTACCTGGAGGTGGACATTTAGAGCGCTTTGAGGCCTATGTTGAAAAAGGAAATATCTTCCCATAAAAACTAGACAGAAGCATTCTCAGAAACTTCTTTGTGATGTGTGTCTTCAACTAACAGAGATGAACCTTTCTTTTTACAGAGCAGTTTTGAAACACTCTTTTTGTGGAATCTGAAAGTGGATATTTGGATAGCTTTGAGGATTTCGTTGGAAACGGGATTACATATAAAATCTAGAGAGAAGCATTCTCAGGAACTTCTTTGTGATGTTTGCATTCAAGTCACAGAACTGAACATTCCCTTTCATAGAGCAGGTTTGAAACACTCTTTCTGTAGTATCTGCAAGCGGACGTTTCAAGCGCTTTCAGGCCTGTGGCGAAAAAGGAAGTATCTTCAAATAAAAACTAGACAGAAGCATTCTCAGAAACTTATTTGCGATGTGTGTTCTCAACTAACAGAGTTGAACCTTTGTTTTGATACAGCATTTTGGAAACACTCTTTTTGTAGGATCTGCAGGTGGATATTTGGATAGCTTTGAAGGTTTCGTTGGAAACGGGAATATCTTCATATAAAATCAAGACAGAAGCATTCTCAGAAACTTCTCTGTGATGTTTGCATTCAACTCATAGAGTTGAACAATTCCTTTCATAGAGCTGGTTTGAAATACTCTTTTTGTAATATTTGGAAGTGGACATTGGCAGCGCTTTGAAGCTTATGGTGAAAAAGGAGATATCTTCTCCTAAAAACCAGACAGAAGCATTCTCAGAATCTTTCTTGTGATGTGTGTACTCAAGTAACAGAGTTGAACCTTCCTTTTGACAGAGCAGTTTTGAAGCACTCTTTTTGTAGAATCTGCAAGTGGATATTTTGATACCTTTGAGGATTTCGTTGGACACGGGATATCTTCATATAAAATCTAGACAGAAGCATTCTCAGACACATCTTTGTGCTGTATGTCCTCAATTAACAGAGTTGAACCTTTGTTTCGATACGGCATTTTGGAAACATTCCTTTAGTAGGATATGCAAGTTGATATTTAGATAGCTAGGAAGATTTCCTTGGAAACGGGAATATCTTCACATAAAATCTAGACGGAAGCATTCTCAGAAACTGCTTTGTGATGTCTTCATTCAAGTCACAGAGCAGAATGTTCCCTTTTATAGAGCAGGTTTGAAACACTCAGTGCACTACCTGGAAGTGGACATTTGGAGCGCTTTGAGGCCTATGTTGAAAAAGGAAATATCTTCCCATAGAAACTAGACAGAAGCATTCTCAGAAACTTGTTTGTGATGTGTGTATTCAACTAACAGAGATGAACCTTTCTTTTTACAGAGCAGTTTTGAAACACTCTTTTTGTGGAATCTGAAAGTGGATATTTGGATAGCTTTGAGGATTTCGTTGGAAACGGGATTACATATAAAATCTAGGGAGAAGCATTCTCGGGAACTTCTTTGTGATGTTTGCATTCAAGTCACAGAACTGAACATTCCCTTTCATAGAGCAGGTGTGAAACACTCTTTCTGTAGTATCTGCAAGCAGACGTTTCAAGCGCTTTCAGGCCTATGGTGAGAAAGGAAATATCTTCAAGTAAAAACTAGACAGAAACATTCTCAGAAACTTATTTGCCATGTGTGTTCTCAACTAACAGAGTTGAACCTTTGTTTTGATACGGCATTTTGGAAACACTCTTTTTGTAGAATCTGCAGGTGGATATTCGAATAGCTTTGAAGGTTTCGTTGGAAACGGGAATATCTTCATATAAAATCTAGACGGAAGCATTCTCAGAAACTGCTTTGTAATGTTTTCATTCAAGTCACAGAGTAGAATGTTCCCTTTTATATACCAGGTTTGAGACACTCTTTCTGCACTACATGGAAGTGGACATTTGGAGCGCTTTGAGGCCTATGATGAAAAAGGAAATATCTTCCCATAAAAACTAGACAGAAGCATTCTCAGAAACTTGTTTGTGATGTGTGTATTCAACTAACAGAGATGAACCTTTCTTTTTACAGAGCAGTTTTGAAACACTCTTTTTGTGGAATCTGAAAGTGGATATGTGGACAGCTTTGACGATTTCGTTGGAAACGGGATTACATATAAAATCTAGAGAGAAGCATTCTCAGGAATTTCTTTGTGATGTTTGCATTCAAGTCACAGAACTGAACATTCCCTTTCATAGAGCATGTTTGAAACACTCTTTCTGTAGTATCTCCAAGCGGACATTTCAAGCGCTTTCAGGCCTATGGTGAGAAAGGAATTATCTTCAAATAAAAACTAGACAGAAGCATTCTCAGAAACTTATTTGCGATGTGTGTCCTCAACTAACAGAGTTGAACCTTTGTTTTGATACAACATTTTGCAAACACTCTTTTGGGAGAATCTGCAGGTGAATACTTGGATAGCTTTGAAGGTTTCTTTAGAAACGGGAATATCTTCATATAAAATCAAAACAGAAGCATTCTCAGAAACTTCTCTGTGATGTTTGCATTCAACTCATAGAGTTGAACACTTCCTTTCATAGAGCACGTTTGAAACACTCTTTGTGATATTCGGAAGTGGACTTTAGCACCGCTTTGAGGCCGATGGTGAAAAAGGAAATATCTTCTCCTAAAAACCAGACAGAAGCATTTTCAGAAACTTCCTTGTGATGAGTGTACTCAAATAACAGAGTTGAACCTTCCTTTTACAGAGCCGTTTTGAAACACTCTTTTTGTAGAATCTGCAAGTAGATATTTGGATACCTTTGAGGATTTCTTTGGAAACGGGATATCTTCATATAAAATCTAGACAGAAGCATTCTCAGAAACTTCTTCTTGCTGTGTGTCCTCCATTAACAGAGTTGAACCTTTGTGTGGATACAGCATTTTGGAAACATTCCTTTAGTAGAATCTGCAAGTTGATATTTAGATAGCTAGGAAGATATCCTTGGAAACGGGAATATCTTCATATAAAATCTAGACGGAAGCATTCTCAGAAACTGCTTTGTGATGTCTTCATTCAAGTCACAGAGTAGAATGTTCCCTTTTATAGAGCAGGTTTGAAACACTCTGTGCACTACGTGGAAGTGGACATTGGGAGCGCTTTGAGGCCTATGTTGAAAAAGGAAATATCTTCCCATAAAAACTAGACAGAAGCATTCTCAGAAACTTGTTTGTGATGTGTGTATTCAACTAAAAGAGATGAACCTTTCTTTTTACAGAGCAGTTTTGAAACACTCTTTTTGTGGAATCTGAAAGTGGATATTTGGATAGCTTTGAGGGTTTCGTTGGAAACGGGATTACATATAAAATCTAGGGAGAAGCATTCTCAGGAACTTCTTTGTGATATTTGCATTCAAGTCACAGAACTCAACATTCCCTTTCATAGAGCAGCTTTGAAACACTCTTTCTGTAGTATCTGCAGGCGGACGTTTCAAGCGCTTTCAGGCCTGTGGTGAAAAAGGAAATATCTTCAAATAAAAACTAGACAGAAGCATTCTCAGAAACTTATTTGCGATGTGTGTTCTCAACTAACAGAGTTGAACCTTTGTTTTGATACAGCATTTTGGAAACACTCTTTTTGTAGGATCTGCAGGTGGATATTTGGATAGCTTTGATGGTTTCGTTGGAAACGGGAATATCCTCATATAAAATCAAGACAGAAGCATTCTCAGAAACTTCTCTGTGATGTTTGCCTTCAACTCATAGAGTTGAACACTTCCTTTCATAGAGCAGGTTTGAAACACTCTGTGCACTACCTGGAAGTGGACATTTGGAGCGCTTTGAGGCCTATGTTGAAAAAGGAAATATCTTCCCATAAAAACTAGACAGAAGCATTCTCAGAAACTTGTTTGTGATGTGTGTATTCAACTAACAGAGATGAACCTTTCTTTTTACAGAGCAGTTTTGAAACACTCTTTTTGTGGAATCTGAAAGTGGATATTTGGATAGCTTTGAGGATTTCGTTGGAAACGGGATTACATATAAAATCTAGAGAGAAGCATTCTCAGGAACTTCTTTGTGATGTTTTCATTCACGTCACAGAACTGAACATTCCCTTTCATAGAGCATGTTTGAAACACTCTTTCTGTAGTATCTGCAAACGGACATTTCAAACGCTTTCAGGCCTATGGTGAGAAAGGAAATATCTTCAAATAAAAACTAGACAGAAGCATTCTCAGAAACTTATTTGCGATGTGTGTCCTCAACTAACAGAGTTGAACCTTTCTTTTGATACAACATTTTGGAAACACTCTTTTTGTAGAATCTGCAAGTGGATATTAGGATAGCTTTGAAGGTTTCGTTGGAAACGGGAATATCTTCATATAAAATCAAGACAGAAGCATTCTCAGAAACTTCTCTGTGATGTTTACATTCAACTCATAGAGTTGAATACTTCCCTTCATACAGCAGGTTTGAAACACTCTTTTTGTAATATTTGGAAGTGGACATTTGCAGCGCTTTGAGGCCTATGATGAAAAAGGAAATATCTTCCCATAAAAACTAGACAGAAGCATTCTCAGAAACTTGTTTGTGATGTGTGTATTCAACTAACAGAGATGAACCTTTCTTTTTACAGAGCAGTTTTGAAACACTCTTTTTGTGGAATCTGAAAGTGGATATTTGGATAGCTTTGAGGATTTCGTTGGAAACGGGATTACATATAAAATCTAGGGAGAAGCATTCCCAGGAACTTCTTTGTGATGTTTGCATTCAAGTCACAGAACTGAACATTCCCTTTCATAGAGCAGGTTTGAAACACTCTTTCTGTAGTATCTGCAAGCGGACGTTTCAAGCGCTTTCAGGCCTGTGGTGAAAAAGGAAATATCTTCAAATAGAAACTAGACAGAAGCATTCTCAGAAACTTATTTGCGATGTGTGTTCTCAACTAACAGAGTTGAACCTTTGTTTTGATACAGCATTTTGGAAACACTCTTTTTGTAGGATCTGCAGGTGGATATTTGGATAGCTTTGATGGTTTCGTTGGAAACGGGAATATCCTCATATAAAATCAAGACAGAAGCATTCTCAGAAACTTCTCTGTGATGTTTGCCTTCAACTCATAGAGTTGAACACTTCCTTTCATAGAGCAGGTTTGAAACACTCTGTGCACTACCTGGAAGTGGACGTTTGGAGCGCTTTGAGGCCTATGTTGAAAAAGGAAATATCTTCCCATAAAAACTAGACAGAAGCATTCTCAGAAACTTGTTTGTGATGTGTGTATTCAACTAACAGAGATGAACCTTTCTTTTTACAGAGCAGTTTTGAAACACTCTTTTTGTGGAATCTGAAAGTGGATATTTGGATAGCTTTGAGGATTTCGTTGGAAACGGGATTACATATAAAATCTAGGGATAAGCATTCTCAGGAACTCCTCTGTGATGTTTGCATTCAAGTCACAGAACTGAACATTCCCTTTCATAGAGCAGGTTTGAAACACTCTTTCTGTAGTATCTGCAAGCGGACGTTTCTAGCGCTTTCAGGCCTGTGGTGAAAGAGGAAATATCTTCAAATAAAAACTAGACAGAAGCATTCTCAGAAACATATTTGCGATGTGTGTTCTCAACTAACAGAGTTGAACCTTTGTTTTGATACAGCATTTTGGAAACACTCTTTTTGTAGGATCTGCAGGTGGATATTTGGATAGCTTTGAAGGTTTCGTTGGAAACGGGAATATCTTCATATAAAATCAACACAGAAGCATTCTCAGAAACTTCTCTGTGATGTTTGCATTCAACTCACAGAGTTGAACACTTCCTTTCATAGAGCTGGTTTGAAATACTCTTTTTGTAATATTTGGAAGTGGACATTGGCAGCGCTTTGAAGCCTATGGTGAAAAAGGAGATATCTTCTCCTAAAAACCAGACAGAAGCATTCTCAGAATCTTTCTTGTGATGTGTGTACTCAAGTAACAGAGTTGAACCTTCATTTTGACAGAGCAGTTTTGAAGCACTCTTTTTGTAGAATCTGCAAGGGGATATTTTGATACCTTTGAGGATTTCGTTGGACACGGGATATCTTCATATAAAATCTAGACAGAAGCATTCTCAGAAACTTCTTTGTGCTGTATGTCCTCAATTAACAGAGTTGAAGCTTTGTGTGGATACAGCATTTTGGAAACATTCCTTTAGTAGAATCTGCAAGTTGATATTTAGATAGCTAGGAAGATTTCCTTGGAAACGGGAATATCTTCATATAAAATCTAGACGGAAGCATTCTCAGAAACTGCTTTGTGATGTTTTCATTCAAGTCACAGAGTAGAATGTTCCCTGTTATATACCAGGTTTGAGACACTCTTTCTGCACTACCTGGAAGTGGACATTTGGAGCGCTTTGAGGCCTATGATGAAAAAGGAAATATCTTCCCATAAAAACTAGACAGAAGCATTCTCAGAAACTTGTTTGTGATGTGTGTATTCAACTAACAGAGATGAACCTTTCTTTTTACAGAGCAGTTTTGAAACACTCTTTTTGTGGAATCTGAAAGTGGATATTTGGATAGCTTTGAGGATTTCGTTGGAAACGGGATTACATATAAAATCTAGAGAGAAGCATTCTCAGGAACTTCTTTGTGATGTTTGCATTCACGTCACAGAACTAAACATTCCCTTTCATAGAGCATGTTTGAAACACTCTTTCTGTAGTATCTGCAAACGGACATTTCAAACGCTTTCAGGCCTATGGTGAGAAAGGAAATATCTTCAAATAAAAACTAGACAGAAGCATTCTCAGAAACTTATTTGCGATGTGTGTCCTCAACTAACAGAGTTGAACCTTTCTTTTGATACAACATTTTGGAAACACTCTTTTTGTAGAATCTGCAAGTGGATATTTGGATAGCTTTGAAGGTTTCGTTGGAAACGGGAATATCTTCATATAAAATCAAGACAGAAGCATTCTCAGAAACTTCTCTGTGATGTTTGCATTCAACTCATAGAGTTGAACACTTCCCTTCATACAGCAGGTTTGAAACACTCTTTTTGTAATATTTGGAAGTGGACATTTGCAGCGCTTTGAGGCCTATGTTGAAAAAGGAAATATCTTCTCCTAAAAACCAGACAGAAGCATTCTCAGAAACTTCCTTGTGATGTGTGTACTCAAGTAACAGAGTTGAACCTTACTTTTGACAGAGCCGTTTTGAAACAGTCTTTTTGTAGAATCTGGAAGTAGATATTTGGATACCTTTGAGGATTTCTTTGGAAACGGGATATCTTTATATAAAATGTACACAGAAGCATTGTCAGACACTTCTTTGTGCTGTATGTCCTCAATTAACAGAGTTGAACCTTTGTGTGGATACAGCATTTTGGAAACATTCCTTTAGTAGAATCTGCAAGTTGATATTTAGATAGCAAGGAAGATTTCCTTGGAAACGGGAATATCTTCATATAAAATCTAGACGGAAGCATTCTCAGAAAGTGCTTTGTGATGTTTGCATTCAAGTCACAGAGGTGAATATTCCCTTTTATAGAGCAGGTTTGAAACACTCTTTCTGCACTACCTGGAAGTGGACATTTGGAGCGCTTTGAGGCCTATGTTGAAAAAGGAAATATCTTCCCATAAAAACTAGACAGAAGCATTCTCAGAAACTTGTTTGTGATGTGTGTATTCAACTAAAAGAGATGAACCTTTCTTTTTACAGAGCAGTTTTGAAACACTCTTTTTGTGGAATCTGAAAGTGGATATTTGGATAGCTTTGAGGATTTCGTTGGAAACGGGATTACATATAAAATCTAGAGAGAAGCATTCTCAGGAACTTCTTTGTGATGTTTGCATTCAAGTCACAGAACTGAACATTCCCTTTCATGGAGCATGTTTGAAACACTCTTTCTGTAGTATCTGCAAGCTGACGTTTCAAGCGCTTTCAGGCCTATGGTGAGAAAGGAAATATCTTCAAGTAAAAACTAGACAGAAACATTCTCAGAAACTTATTTGCCATGTGTGTTCTCAACTAACAGAGTTGAACCTTTGTTTTGATACGGCATTTTGGAAACACTCTTTTTGTAGAATCTGCACGTGGATATTCGGATAGCTTTGAAGGTTTCGTTGGAAACGGGAATATCTTCATATAAAATCTAGACGGAAGCATTCTCAGAAACTGCTTTGTGATGTTTTCATTCAAGTCACAGAGTAGAATGTTCCCTTTTATATACCAGGTTTGAGACACTCTTTCTGCACTACCTGGAAGTGGACATTTGGAGCGCTTTGAGGCCTATGATGAAAAAGGAAATAACTTCCCATAAAAACTAGACAGAAGCATTCTCAGAAACTTGTTTGTGATGTGTGTATTCAACTAACAGAGATGAACCTTTCTTTTTACAGAGCAGTTTTGAAACACTCTTTTTGTGGAATCTGAAAGTGGATATTTGGATAGCTTTGAGGATTTCGTTGGAAACGGGATTACATACAACATCTAGAGAGAAGCACTCTCAGGAATTTTTTTGTGATGTTTGCATTCTCATCACAGAACTGAACATTCCCTTTCATAGAGCAGGTTTGAAACACTCTTTCTGTAGTATCTGCAAACGGACATTCCAAGCGCTTTCAGGTCTATGGTGAGAAAGGAAATATCTTCAAATAAAAACCAGACAGAAGCATTCTCAGAAACTTATTTGCGATGTGTGTCCTCAACTAACAGAGTTGAACCTTTGTTTTGATACAGCATTTTGGAAACACTCTTTTTGTAGGATCTGCAGGTGGATATTTGGATAGCTTTTAAGGTTTCGTTGGAAACGGGAATATCTTCATATAAAATCAAGACAGAAGCATTCTCAGAAACTTCTCTGTGATGTTTGCATTCAACTCATAGAGTTGAACACTTCCTTTCATAGAGCAGATTTGAAACACTCTGTGCACTACCTGGAAGTGGACATTTGGAGCGCTTTGAGGCCTATTTTGAAAAAGGAATTATCTTCCCATAAAAACTAGACAGAAGCATTCTCAGAAACTTGTTTGTGATGTGGGTATTCAACTAACAGAGATGAACCTTTCTTTTCACAGAGCAGTTTTGAAACACTCTTTTTGTGGAATCTGAAAGTGGATATTTGGATAGCTTTGAGGATTTCGTTGGAAACGGGATTACATATAAAATCTAGGGAGAAGCATTCTCAGGAACTTCTTTGTGATGTTTGCATTCAAGTCACAGAACTGAACATTCCCTTTCATAGAGCATGTTTGATACACTCTTTCTGTAGTATCTGCAAGCTGACGTTTCAAGCGCTTTCAGGCCTATGGTGAGAAAGGAAATATCTTCAAGTAAAAACTAGACAGAAACATTCTCAGAAACTTATTTGCCATGTGTGTTCTCAACTAACAGAGTTGAACCTTTGTTTTGATACGGCATTTTGGAAACACTCTTTTTGTAGAATCTGCAGGTGGATATTCGGATAGCTTTGAAGGTTTCGTTGGAAACGGGAATATCTTCATAAAAAATCTAGACGGAAGCATTCTCAGAAACTGCTTTGTGATGTTTTCATTGAAGTCACAGAGTAGAATGTTCCCTTTTATATACCAGGTTTGAGACACTCTTTCTGCACTACCTGGAAGTGGACATTTGGAGCGCTTTGAGGCCTATGATGAAAAAGGAAATATCTTCCCATAAAAACTAGACAGAAGCATTCTCAGAAACTTGTTTGTGATGTGTGTATTCAACTAACAGAGATGAACCTTTCTTTTTACAGAGCAGTTTTGAAACACTCTTTTTGTGGAATCTGAAAGTGGATATTTGGATAGCTTTGAGGATTTCGTTGGAAACGGGATTACATATAAAATCTAGGGAGAAGCATTCTCAGGAACTTCTTTGTGATGTTTGCATTCAAGTCACAGAACTGAACATTCCCTTTCATGGAGCAGGTTTGAAACACTCTTTCTGTAGTATCTGCAAGCGGACGTTTCAAGCGCTTTCAGGCCTGTGGTGAAAAAGGAAATCTCTTCAAATAAAAACTAGACAGAAGCATTCTCAGAAACTTATTTGCGATGTTTGTCCTCAACTAACAGAGTTGAACCTTTGTTTTGATACAGCATTTTGGAAACACTCTTTTTGTAGGATCTGCAGGTGGATATTTGGATAGCTTTGAAGGTTTCGTTGGAAACGGGAATATTTTCATATAAAATCAAGACAGAAGCATTCTCAGAAACTTCTCTGTGATGTTTGCATTCAACTCATAGAGTTGAACACTTCCTTTCATACAGCAGGTTTTAAACACTCTTTTTGAAATATTTGGAAGTGGACATTTGCAGCGCTTTGAGGCCTAGGTTGAAAAAGGAAATATCTTCTCCTAAAAACCAGACAGAAGCATTCTCAGAAACTTCCTTGTGATGTGTGTACTCAAGTAACACAGTTGAACCTTACTTTTGACAGAGCCGTTTTGAAACAGTCTTTTTGTAGAATCTGGAAGTAGATATTTGGATACCTTTGAGGATTTCTTTGGAAACGGGATATCTTTATATAAAATCTACACAGAAGCATTCTCAGACACTTCTTTGTGCTGTATGTCCTCAATTAACAGAATTGAACCTTTGTGTGGATACAGCATTTTGGAAACATTCCTTTAGTAGAATCTGCAAGTTGATATTTAGATAGCTAGGAAGATTTCCTTGGAAACGGGAATATCTTCATATAAAATCTAGACGGAAGCATTCTCAGAAAGTGCTTTGTGATGTTTGCATTCAAGTCACAGAGTTGAATATTCCCTTTTATAGAGCACGTTTGAAACACTCTTTCTGCACTACCTGGAAGTGGACATTTGGAGCGCTTTCAGGCCTATGTTGAAAAAGGAAATATCTTCCCATAAAAACTAGACAGAAGCATTCTCAGAAACTTGTTTGTGATGTGTGTATTCAACTAACAGAGATGAACCTTTCTTTTTACAGAGCAGTTTTGAAACACTCTTTTTGTAGAATCTGAAAGTGGATATTTGGATAGCATTGAGGATTTCGTTGGAAACGGGATTACATATAAAACCTAGAGAGAAGCATTCTCAGGAACTTCTTTGTGATGTTTGCATTCAAGTCACAGACCTGAACATTCCCTTACATAGAGCATGTTTGAAACACTCTTTCTGTAGTATCTGCAAGCTGACGTTTCAAGCGCTTTCAGGCCTGTGGTGAGAAAGGAAATATCTTCAAGTAAAAAATAGACAGAAGCATTCTCAGAAACTTATTTGCCATGTGTGTTCTCAACTAACAGAGTTGAACCTTTGTTTTGATACGGCATTTTGGAAACACTCTTTTTGTAGAATCTGCAAGTGGATATTCGGATAGCTTTGAAGGTTTCGTTGGAAACGGGAATATCTTCATATAAAATCTAGACGGAAGCATTCTCAGAAACTGCTTTGTGATGTTTTCATTCAAGTCACAGAGTAGAATGTTCCCTGTTATATACCAGGTTTGAGACACTCTTTCTGCACTACCTGGAAGTGGACATTTGGAGCGCTTTGAGGCCTATGATGAAAAAGGAAATATCTTCCCATAAAAACTAGACAGAAGCATTCTCAGAAACTTGTTTGTGATGTGTGTATTCAACTAACAGAGATGAACCTTTCTTTTTACAGAGCAGTTTCGAAACACTCTTTTTGTGGAATCTGAAAGTGGATATTTGGATAGCTTTGAGGATTTCGTTGGAAACGGGATTACATACAACATCTAGAGAGAAGCACTCTCAGGAATTTTTTTGTGATGTTTGCATTCTCATCACAGAACTGAACATTCCCTTTCATAGAGCAGGTTTGAAACACTCTTTCTGTAGTATCTGCAAACGGACATTCCAAGCGCTTTCAGGCCTATGGTGAGAAAGGAAATATCTTCAACTAAAAACCAGACAGAAGCATTCTCAGAAACTTATTTGCGATGTGTGTCCTCAACTAACAGAGTTGAACCTTTCTTTTGATACAACATTTTGGAAACACTCTTTTTGTAGAATCTGCAGGTGGATATTCGGATAGCTTTGAAGGTTTCGTTGGAAACGGGAATATCTTCATATAAAATCAAGACAGAAGCATTCTCAGAAACTTCTCTGTGATGTTTGCATTCAACTCATAGAGGTGAACACTTCCCTTCATAGAGCAGGTTTGAAACACTCTTTTTGAAATATTTGGAAGTGGACATTTGCAGCGCTTTGAGGCCTATGTTGAAAAAGGAAATATCTTCTCCTAAAAACCAGACAGAAGCATTCTCAGAAACTTCCTTGTGATGTGTTTACTCAAGTGACAGAGTTGAACCTTACTTTTGACAGAGCCGTTTTGAAACAGTCTTTTTGTAGAATCTGGAAGTAGATATTTGGATACCTTTGAGGATTTCTTTGGAAACGGGATATCTTTATATAAAATCTACACAGAAGCATTCTCAGACACTTCTTTGTGCTGTATGTCCTCAATTAACAGAGTTGAACCTTTGTGTGGATACAGCATTTTGGAAACATTCCTTTAGTAGAATCTGCAAGTTGATATTTAGATAGCAAGGAAGATTTCCTTGGAAACGGGAATATCTTCATATAAAATCTAGACGGAAGCATTCTCAGAAAGTGCTTTGTGATGTTTGCATTCAAGTCACAGAGTTGAATATTCCCTTTTATAGAGCAGGTTTGAAACACTCTTTCTGCACTACCTGGAAGTGGACATTTGGAGCGCTTTGAGGCCTATGTTGAAAAAGGAAATATCTTCCCATGAAAACTAGACAGAAGCATTCTCAGAAACTTCTTTGTGATGTGTGTATTCAACTAACAGAGATGAACCTTCCTTTTTACAGAGCAGTTTTGAAACACTCTTTCTGTGGAATCTGAAAGTGGATATTTGGATAGCTTTGAGGATTTCGTTGCAAACGGGATTACATATAAAATCTAGAGAGAAGCATTCTCAGGAACTTCTTTGTGATGTTTGCATTCAAGTCACAGAACTGAACATTCCCTTTCATGGAGCATGTTTGAAACACTCTTTCTGTAGTATCTGCAAGCTGACGTTTCAAGCGCTTTCAGGCCTATGGTGAGAAAGGAAATATCTTCAAGTAAAAACTAGACAGAAGCATTCTCAGAAACTTATTTGCCATGTGTGTTCTCAACTAACAGAGTTGAACCTTTGTTTTGATACGGCATTTTGGAAACACTCTTTTTGTAGAATCTGCAGGTGGATATTCGGATAGCTTTGAAGGTTTCGTTGGAAACGGGAATATCTTCATATAAAATCTAGACGGAAGCATTCTCAGAAACTGCTTTGTGATGTTTTCATTCAAGTCACAGAGTAGAATGTTCCCTTTTATATACCAGGTTTGAGACACTCTTTCTGCACTACCTGGAAGTGGACTTTTGGAGCGCTTTGAGGCCTATGATGAAAAAGGAAATATCTTCCCATAACAACTAGACAGAAGCATTCTCAGAAACTTGTTTGTGATGTGTGTATTCAACTAACAGAGATGAACCTTTCTTTTTACAGAGCAGTTTTGAAACACTCTTTTTGTGGAATCTGAAAGTGGATATTTGGATAGCTTTGAGGATTTCGTTGGAAACGAGATTACATATAAAATCTAGAGAGAAGCATTCTCAGGAACTTCTTTGTGATGTTTGCATTCACGTCACAGAACTGAACATTCCCTTTCATAGAGCATGTTTGAAACACTCTTTCTGTAGTATCTGCAAACGGACGTTTCAAGCGCTTTCAGGCCTGTGGTGAGAAAGGAAATATCTTCAAATAAAAACTAGACAGAAGCATTCTCAGAAACTTGTTTGTGATGTGTGTATTCAACTAACAGAGATGAACCTTTCTTTTTACAGAGCAGTTTTGAAACACTCTTTTTGTGGAATCTGAAAGTGGATATTTGGATAGCTTTGAGGATTTCGTTGGAAACGGGATTACATATAAAATCTAGAGAGAAGCATTCTCAGGAACTTCTTTGTGATGTTTGCATTCAAGTCACAGAACTGAACATTCCCTTTCATAGAGCATGTTTGATACACTCTTTCTGTAGTATCTGCAAGCTGACGTTTCAAGCGCTTTCAGGCCTATGGTGAGACAGGAAATATCTTCAAGTAAAAACTAGACAGAAACATTCTCAGAAACTTATTTGCCATGTGTGTTCTCAACTAACAGAGTTGAACCTTTGTTTTGATACGGCATTTTGGAAACACTCTTTTTGTAGAATCTGCAGGTGGATATTCGGATAGCTTTGAAGGTTTCGTTGGAAACGGGAATATCTTCATATAAAATCTAGACGGAAGCATTCTCAGAAACTGCTTTGTGATGTTTTCATTGAAGTCACAGAGTAGAATGTTCCCTTTTATATACCAGGTTTGAGACACTCTTTCTGCACTACCTGGAAGTGGACATTTGGAGCGCTTTGAGGCCTATGATGAAAAAGGAAATATCTTCCCATAAAAACTAGACAGAAGCATTCTCAGAAACTTGTTTGTGATGTGTGTATTCAACTAACAGAGATGAACCTTTCTTTTTACAGAGCAGTTTTGAAACACTCTTTTTGTGGAATCTGAAAGTGGATATTTGGATAGCTTTGAGGATTTCGTTGGAAACGGGATTACATATAAAATCTAGGGAGAAGCATTCTCAGGAACTTCTTTGTGATGTTTGCATTCAAGTCACAGAACTGAACATTCCCTTTCATAGAGCAGGTTTGAAACACTCTTTCTGTAGTATCTGCAAGCGGACGTTTCAAGCGCTTTCAGGCCTGTGGTGAAAAAGGAAATCTCTTCAAATAAAAACTAGACAGAAGCATTCTCAGAAACTTATTTGCGATGTGTGTCCTCAACTAACAGAGTTGAACCTTTGTTTTGATACAGCATTTTGGAAACACTCTTTTTGTAGGATCTGCAGGTGGATATTTGGATAGCTTTGAAGGTTTCGTTGGAAACGGGAATATCTTCATATAAAATCAAGACAGAAGCATTCTCAGAAACTTCTCTCTGATGTTTGCATTCAAATCATAGAGTTGAACAATTCCTTTCATAGAGCTGGTTTGAAATACTCTTTTTGTAATATTTGGAAGTGGACATTGGCAGCGCTTTGAAGCTTATGGTGTAAAAGGAGATATATTCTCCTAAAAACCAGACAGAAGCATTCTCAGAATCTTTCTTGTGATGTGTGTACTCAAGTAACAGAGTGGAACCTTCCTTTTGACAGAGCAGTTTTGAAGCACTCTTTTTGTAGAATCTGCAAGTGGATATTTTGATACCTTTGAGGATTTCGTTGGACACGGGATATCTTCATATAAAATCTAGACAGAAGCATTCTCAGACACTTCTTTGTGCTGTATGTCCTCAATTAACAGAGTTGAACCTTTGTTTCGATACGGCATTTTGGAAACATTCCTTTAGTACAATCTGCAAGTTGATATTTAGATAGCTAGGAAGATTTCCTTGGAAACGGGAATATCTTCATATAAAATCTAGACGGAAGCATTCTCAGAAAGTGCTTTGTGATGTTTGCATTCAAGTCACAGAGGTGAATATTCCCTTTTATAGAGCAGGTTTGAAACACTCTTTCTGCACTACCTGGAAGTGGACATTTGGAGCGCTTTGAGGCCTATGTTGAAAAAGGAAATATCTTCCCATAAAAACTAGACAGAAGCATTCTCAGAAACTTGTTTGTGATGTGTGTATTCAACTAAAAGAGATGAACCTTTCTTTTTACAGAGCAGTTTTGAAACACTCTTTTTGTGGAATCTGAAAGTGGATATTTGGATAGCTTTGAGGATTTCGTTGGAAACGAGATTACATATAAAATCTAGAGAGAAGCATTCTCAGGAACTTCTTTGTGATGTTTGCATTCACGTCACAGAACTGAACATTCCCTTTCATAGAGCATGTTTGAAACACTCTTTCTGTAGTATCTGCAAACGGACGTTTCAAGCGCTTTCAGGCCTGTGGTGAGAAAGGAAATATCTTCAAATAAAAACTAGACAGAAGCATTCTCAGAAACTTGTTTGTGATGTGTGTATTCAACTAACAGAGATGAACCTTTCTTTTTACAGAGCAGTTTTGAAACACTCTTTTTGTGGAATCTGAAAGTGGATATTTGGATAGCTTTGAGGATTTCGTTGGAAACGGGATTACATATAAAATCTAGAGAGAAGCATTCTCAGGAACTTCTTTGTGATGTTTGCATTCAAGTCACAGAACTGAACATTCCCTTTCATAGAGCATGTTTGATACACTCTTTCTGTAGTATCTGCAAGCTGACGTTTCAAGCGCTTTCAGGCCTATGGTGAGACAGGAAATATCTTCAAGTAAAAACTAGACAGAAACATTCTCAGAAACTTATTTGCCATGTGTGTTCTCAACTAACAGAGTTGAAACTTTGTTTTGATACGGCATTTTGGAAACACTCTTTTTGTAGAATCTGCAGGTGGATATTCGGATAGCTTTGAAGGTTTCGTTGGAAACGGGAATATCTTCATATAAAATCTAGACGGAAGCATTCTCAGAAACTGCTTTGTGATGTTTTCATTGAAGTCACAGAGTAGAATGTTCCCTTTTATATACCAGGTTTGAGACACTCTTTCTGCACTACCTGGAAGTGGACATTTGGAGCGCTTTGAGGCCTATGATGAAAAAGGAAATATCTTCCCATAAAAACTAGACAGAAGCATTCTCAGAAACTTGTTTGTGATGTGTGTATTCAACTAACAGAGATGAACCTTTCTTTTTACAGAGCAGTTTTGAAACACTCTTTTTGTGGAATCTGAAAGTGGATATTTGGATAGCTTTGAGGATTTCGTTGGAAACGGGATTACATATAAAATCTAGGGAGAAGCATTCTCAGGAACTTCTTTGTGATGTTTGCATTCAAGTCACAGAACTGAACATTCCCTTTCATAGAGCAGGTTTGAAACACTCTTTCTGTAGTATCTGCAAGCGGACGTTTCAAGCGCTTTCAGGCCTGTGGTGAAAAAGGAAATCTCTTCAAATAAAAACTAGACAGAAGCATTCTCAGAAACTTATTTGCGATGTGTTTCCTCAACTAACAGAGTTGAACCTTTGTTTTGATACAGCATTTTGGAAACACTCTTTTTGTAGGATCTGCAGGTGGATATTTGGATAGCTTTGAAGGTTTCGTTGGAAACGGGAATATCTTCATATAAAATCAAGACAGAAGCATTCTCAGAAACTTCTCTCTGATGTTTGCATTCAAATCATAGAGTTGAACAATTCCTTTCATAGAGCTGGTTTGAAATACTCTTTTTGTAATATTTGGAAGTGGACATTGGCAGCGCTTTGAAGCTTATGGTGTAAAAGGAGATATATTCTCCTAAAAACCAGACAGAAGCATTCTCAGAATCTTTCTTGTGATGTGTGTACTCAAGTAACAGAGTGGAACCTTCCTTTTGACAGAGCAGTTTTGAAGCACTCTTTTTGTAGAATCTGCAAGTGGATATTTTGATACCCTTGAGGATTTCGTTGGACACGGGATATCTTCATATAAAATCTAGACAGAAGCATTCTCAGACACTTCTTTGTGCTGTATGTCCTCAATTAACAGAGTTGAACCTTTGTTTCGATACGGCATTTTGGAAACATTCCTTTAGTACAATCTGCAAGTTGATATTTAGATAGCTAGGAAGATTTCCTTGGAAACGGGAATATCTTCATATAAAATCTAGACGGAAGCATTCTCAGAAAGTGCTTTGTGATGTTTGCATTCAAGTCACAGAGGTGAATATTCCCTTTTATAGAGCAGGTTTGAAACACTCTTTCTGCACTACCTGGAAGTGGACATTGGGTGCGCTTTGAGGCCTATGTTGAAAAAGGAAATATCTTCCCATAAAAACTAGACAGAAGCATTCTCAGAAACTTGTTTGTGATGTGTGTATTCAACTAACAGAGATGAACCTTTCTTTTTACAGAGCAGTTTTGAAACACTCTTTTTGTGGAGTCTGAAAGTAGATATTTGGATGGCTTTGAGGATTTCGTTGGAAAAGGGATTACATATAAAACCTAGAGAGAAGCATTCTCAGGAACTTCTTTGTGATGTTTGCATTCAAGTCACAGAACTGAACATTCCCTTTCATAGAGCAGGTTTGAAACACTCTTTCTGCACTACCTGGAGGTGGACATTTGGAGCGCTTTGAGTCCTATGTTGAAAAAGGAAATATCTTCCCATAAAAACTGGACAGAACCATTCTCAGAAACTTATTTGCGATGTGTGTCCTCAACTAACAGAGTTGAACCTTTGTGTGGATACAGCATTTTGGAAACACTCTTTTTGTAGGATCTGCAGGTGGATATTTGGATAGCTTTTAAGGTTTCGTTGGAAACGGGAATATCTTCATATAAAATCAAGACAGAAGCATTCTCAGAAACTTCTCTGTGATGTTTGCATTCAACTCATAGAGTAGAATGTTCCCTGTTATATACCAGGTTTGAAACACTCTTTCTGCACTACCTGGAAGTGGACATTTGGAGCGCTTTGAGGCCTATGTTGAAAAAGGAAATATCTTCCCATCAAAACTAGACAGAAGCATTCTCAGAAACTTGTTTGTGATGTGTGTATTCAACTAACAGAGATGAACCTTTCTTTTTACAGAGCAGTTTTGAAACACTCTTTTTGTGGAATCTGAAAGTGGATATTTGGATAGCTTTGAGGATTTCGTTGGAAACGGGATTACATATAAAATCTAGAGAGAAGCATTCTCAGGAACTTCTTTGTGATGTTTGCATTCAAGTCACAGAACTGAACATTCCCTTTCATAGAGCAGGTTTGAAACACTCTTTCTGTAGTATCTGCAAACGGACATTCCAAGCGCTTTCAGGCCTATGGTGAGACAGGAAATATCTTCAAATAAAAACCAGACAGAAGCATTCTCAGAAACATATTTGCGATGTGTGTCCTCAACTAACAGAGTTGAACCTTTCTATTGATACAACATTTTGGAAACACTGTTTTTGTAGAATCTGCAGGTGGATATTCGGATAGCTTTGAAGGTTTCGTTGGAAACGGGAATATCTTCATATAAAATCAAGACAGAAGCATTCTCAGAAACTTCTCTGTGATGTTTGCATTCAACTCATAGAGGTGAACACTTCCCTTCATAGAGCAGGTTTGAAACACTCTTTTTGTAATATTTGGAAGTGGACATTTGCAGCGCTTTGAGGCCTATGTTGAAAAAGGAAATATCTTCTCCTAAAAACCAGACAGAAGCATTCTCAGAAACTTCCTTGTAATGTGTGTACTCAAGTGACAGAGTTGAACCTTCCTTTTGACAGAGCCGTTTTGAAACACTCTTTTTGTAGAATCTGCAAGTAGATATTTGGATACCTTTGAGGCCTATGTTAAAAAAGGAAGTATCTTCATATAAAATCTAGACAGAAGCATTCTCAGAAACTTCTTTGTGCTGTATGTCTTCAATTAACAGAGTTGAACCTTTGTTTGGATACAGCATTTTGGAAACGTTCCTTTAGTAGAATCTGCAAGTTGATATTTAGATAGCTAGGAAGATTTCCTTGGAAACGGGAATATCTTCACATAAAATCTAGACGGAAGCATTCTCAGAAAGTGCTTTGTGATGTTTGCATTCAAGTCACAGAGTTGAATATTCCCTTTTATAGAGCAGGTTTGAAACACTCTTTCTGCACTACCTGGAGGTGGACATTTAGAGCGCTTTGAGGCCTATGTTGAAAAAGGAAATATCTTCCCATAAAAACTAGACAGAAGCATTCTCAGAAACTTGTTTGTGATGTGTGTATTCAACTAACAGAGATGAACCTTTCTTTTTACAGAGCAGTTTTGAAACACTCTTTTTGTGGAATCTGAAAGTGGATATTTGGATAGCTTTGAGGATTTCGTTGGAAACGGGATTACATATAAATTCTAGAGAGAAGCATTCTCAGGAACTTCTTTGTGATGTTTGCATTCAAGTCACAGAACTGAACATTCCCTTTCATAGAGCAGGTTTGAAACTCTCTTTCAGTAGTATCTGCAAGCGGACGTTTCAAGCGCTTTCAGGCCTGTGGAGAAAAAGGAAATATCTTCAAATAAAAACTAGACGGAAGCATTCTCAGAAACTTATTTGCGATGTGTGTCCTCAACTAACAGATTTGAACCTTTGTTTTGATACAGCATTTTGGAAACACTCTTTTTGTAGGATCTGCAAGTGGATATTTGGATAGCTTTTAAGGTTTCGTTGGAAACGGGAATATCTTCATATAAAATCAAGACAGAAGCATTCTCAGAAACTTCTCTGTGATGTTTGCATTCAACTCATAGAGTTGAAGACTTCCTTTCACAGAGCCGGTTTGAAACACTCTTTCTGCACTACCTGGAAGTGGACATTTGGAGCGCTTTGAGGCCTATGTTGAAAAAGGAAATATCTTCCCATAAAAACTAGACAGAAGCATTCTCAGAAACTTGTTTGTGATGTGTGTATTCAACTAACAGAGATGAACCTTTCTTTTTACAGAGCAGTTTTGAAACACTCTTTTTGTGGAATCTGAAAGTGGATATTTGGATAGCTTTGAGGATTTCGTTGGAAACGGGATTACATATAGAATCTAGGGAGAAGCATTCTGAGGAACTTCTTTGTGATGTTTGCATTCAAGTCACAGAACTGAACATTCCCTTTCATAGAGCAGGTTTGAAACACTCTTTCTGTAGTATCTGCAAGCGGACGTTTCAAGCGCTTTCAGGCCTGTGGTGAAAAAGGAAATATCTTCAAATAAAAACTAGACAGAAGCATTCTCAGAAACTTATTTGCGATGTGTGTCCTCAACTAACAGAGTTGAACCTTTGTTTTGATACAGCATTTTGGAAACACTCTTTTTGTAGAATCTGCAGGTGGATATTTGGATAGCTTTGAAGGTTTCGTTGGAAACGGGAATATCTTCATATAAAATCAAGACAGAAGCATTCTCAGAAAATTCTCTGTTTTGTTTGCATTCAACTCATAGAGTTGAACAAATCCTTTCATAGAGCTGGTTTGAAATACTCTTTTTGTAATATTTGGAAGTGGACAATGGCAGCGCTTTGAAGCTTATGGTGAAAAAGGAGATATCTTCTCCTAAATACCAGACAGAAGCATTCTCAGAATCTTTCTTGTGATGTGTGTACTCAAGTAACAGAGTTGAACCTTCCTTTTGACAGAGCAGTTTTGAAGCACTCTTTTTGTAGAATCTGCAAGTGGATATTTTGATACCTTTGAGGATTTCGTTGGACACGGGATATCTTCATATAAAATCTAGACAGAAGCATTCTCAGACACTTCTTTGTGCTGTATGTCCTCAATTAACAGAGTTGAACCTTTGTTTCGATACGGCATTTTGGAAACATTCCTTTAGTAGAATCTGCAAGTTGATATTTAGATAGCTAGGAAGATTTCCTTGCAAACGGGAATATCTTCATATAAAATCTAGACGGAAGGATTCTCAGAAACTGCTTTGTGATGTCTTCATTCAAGTCACAGAGTAGAATATTCCCTTTTATAGAGCAGGTTTGAAACACTCAGTGCACTACCTGGAAGTGGACATTTGGAGCGCTTTGAGGCCTATGTTAAAAAAGGAAGTATCTTCCCATAGAAACTAGACAGAAGCATTCTCAGAAACTTGTTTGTGATGTGTGTATTCAACTAACAGAGATGAACCTTTCTTTTTACAGAGCAGTTTTGAAACACTCTTTTTGTAGAATCTGAAAGTGGATATTTGGATAGCTTTGAGGATTTCGTTGGAAACGGGATTACATAT
Organism: Homo sapiens; assembly: GCF_000001405.40. Taxonomy (NCBI): domain Eukaryota; kingdom Metazoa; phylum Chordata; class Mammalia; order Primates; family Hominidae; genus Homo; species Homo sapiens. The sequence goes on from NT_187502.1 coordinate 190,520, forward strand.
AAAAGCTAGGGAGAAGCATTCTCAGGAACTTCTTTCTGATGTTTGCATTCAAGTCACAGAACTGAACATTCCCTTTCATAGAGCAGGTTTGAAACACTCTTTCTGTAGTATCTGCAAACGGACGTTTCAAGCGCTTTCAGGCCTGTGGTGAGAAAGGAAATATCTTCCCATAAAAACTAGACAGAAGCATTCTCAGAAACTTGTTTGTGATGTGTGTATTCAACTAACAGAGATGAACCTTTCTTTTTACAGAGCAGTTTTGAAACACTCTTTTTGTGGAATCTGAAAGTGGATATTTGGATAGCTTTGAGGATTTCGTTGGAAACGGGATTACATATAAAATCTAGAGAGAAGCATTCTCAGGAACTTCTTTGTGATGTTTGCATTCAAGTCACAGAACTGAACATTCCCTTTCATAGAGCATGTTTGAAACACTCTTTCTGTAGTATCTGCAAGCTGACGTTTCAAGCGCTTTCAGGCCTATGGTGAGAAAGGAAATATCTTCAAGTAAAAACTAGACAGAAACATTCTCAGAAACTTATTTGCCATGTGTGTTCTCAACTAACAGAGTTGAACCTTTGTTTTGATACGGCATTTTGGAAACACTCTTTTTGTAGAATCTGCAGGTGGATATTCGGATAGCTTTGAAGGTTTCGTTGGAAACGGGAATATCTTCTTATAAAATCTAGACGGAAGCATTCTCAGAAACTGCTTTGTGATGTTTTCATTCAAGTCACAGAGTAGAATGTTCCCTTTTATATACCAGGTTTGAGACACTCTTTCTGCACTACCTGGAAGTGGACATTTGGAGCGCTTTGAGACCTATGATGAAAAAGGAAATATCTTCCCATAAAAACTAGACAGAAGCATTCTCAGAAACTTGTTTGTGATGTGTGTATTCAACTAACAGAGATGAACCTTTCTTTTTACAGAGCAGTTTTGAAACACTCTTTTTGTGGAATCTGAAAGTGGATATTTGGATAGCTTTGAGGATTTCGTTGGAAACGAGATTACATATAAAATCTAGAGAGAAGCATTCTCAGGAATTTTTTTGTGATGTTTGCATTCTCATCACAGAACTGAACATTCCCTTTCATAGAGCAGGTTTGAAACACTCTTTCTGTAGTATCTGCAAACGGACGTTTCAAGCGCTTTCAGGCCTGTGGTGAGAAAGGAAATATCTTCAAATAAAAACTAGACAGAAGCATTCTCAGAAACTTGTTTGTGATGTGTGTATTCAACTAACAGAGATGAACCTTTCTTTTTACAGAGCAGTTTTGAAACACTCTTTTTGTGGAATCTCAAAGTGGATATTTGGATAGCTTTGAGGATTTCGTTGGAAACGGGAATATCTTCATATAAAATCTAGACAGAAGCATTCTCAGAAACTTCTTTGTGCTGTATGTCCTCAATTAACAGAGTTGAACCTTTGTGTGGATACAGCATTTTGGAAACACTCTTTTTGTAATATTTGGAAGTGGACATTTGCAGCGCTTTGAGGCCTATGTTGAAAAAGGAAATATCTTCTCCTAAAAGCCAGACAGAAGCATTCTCAGAAACTTTCTTGTTATGTGTGTACTCAAGTAACAGAGTTGAACCTTCCTTTTGACAGAGCCGTTTTGAAACACTCTTTTTGTAGAATCTGCAAGTAGATATTTGGATACCTTTGAGGATTTCTTTGGAAACGGGATATCTTCATATAAAATCTAGACAGAAGCATTCTCAGAAACCTCTTTGTGCTGTATGTCTTCAATTAACAGAGTTGAACCTTTGTTTGGAAACAGCATTTTGGAAACGTTCCTTTAGTAGAATCTGCAAGTTGATATTTAGATAGCTAGGAAGATTTCCTTGGAAACGGGAATATCTTCACATAAAATCTAGACGGAAGCATTCTCAGAAAGTGCTTTGTGATGTTTGCATTCAAGTCACAGAGTTGAATATTCCCTTTTATAGAGCAGGTTTGAAACACTCTTTCTGCACTACCTGGAAGTGGACATTTGGAGCGCTTTGAGGCCTATGTTGAAAAAGGAAATATCTTCCCATAAAAACTAGACAGAAGCATTCTCAGAAACTTGTTTGTGATGTGTGTATTCAACTAACAGAGATGAACCTTTCTTTTTACAGAGCAGTTTTGAAACACTCTTTTTGTGGAATCTGAAAGTGGATATTTGGATAGCTTTGAGGATTTCGTTGGAAACGGGATTACATATAAAATCTAGAGAGAAGCATTGTCAGAAACTTCTCTGTGATGTTTGCCTTCAACTCATAGAGTTGAACACTTCCTATCATAGAGCAGGTTTGAAACACTCTTTCTGTAGTATCTGCAAACGGACATTTCAAGCGCTTTGAGGCCTATGATGAAAAAGGAAATATCTTCAAATAAAAACTAGACAGAAGCATTCTCAGAAACTTGTTTGTGATGTGTGTATTCAACTAACAGAGTTGAACCTTTCTTTTTACAGAGCAGTTTTGAAACACTCTTTTTGTGGAATCTGAAAGTGGATATTTGGATAGCTTTGAAGGTTTCGTTGGAAACGGGAATATCTTCATATAAAATCTAGAGAGAAGCATTCTCAGGAACATCTTTGTGATGTTTGCATTCACGTCACAGAACTGAACATTCCCTTTCATAGAGCATGTTTGAAAAACTCTTTCTGTAGTATCTGCAAACGGACATTTCAAACACTTTCAGGCCTATGGTGAGAAAGGAAATATATTCAAATAAAAACTAGACAGAAGCATTCTCAGAAACTTATTTGCGATGTGTGTCCTCAACTAACAGAGTTGAACCTTTCTTTTGACAGAGCCGTTTTGAAACAGTCTTATTGTAGAATCTGGAAGTAGATATTTGGACACCTTTGAGGATTTCTTTGGAAACGGGAATATCTTCATATAAAATCTAGACAGAAGCATTCTCAGAAACTTCTTTGTGCTGTATGTCCTCAATTAAGAGAGTTGAACCTTTGTGTGGATACAGCATTTTGGAAACACTCCTTTAGTAGAATCTGCAAGTTGATCTTTAGATAGCTAGGAAGATTTCCTTGGAAACGGGAATATCTTCATATAAAATCTAGACGGAAGCATTCTCAGAAAGTGCTTTGTGATGTTTGCATTCAAGTCACACAGTTGAATATTCCCTTTTATAGAGCAGGTTTGAAACACTCTTTCTGCACTACCTGGAAGTGGACATTTGGAGCGCTTTGAGGCCTATGTTGAAAAAGGAAATATCTTCCCATAAAAACTAGACAGAAGCATTCTCAGAAACTTGTTTGTGATGTGTGTATTCAACTAACAGAGATGAACCTTTCTTTTTACAGAGCAGTTTTGAAACACTCTTTTTGTGGAATCTGAAAGTGGATATTTGGATAGCTTTGAGGATTTCGTTGGAAACGGGATTACATATAAAATCTAGAGAGAAGCATTCTCAGGAACTTCTTTGTGATGTTTGCATTCAAGTCACAGAACTGAACATTCCCTTTCATAGAGCATGTTTGAAACACTCTTTCTGTAGTATCTGCAAGCAGACGTTTCAAGCGCTTTCAGGCCTATGGTGAGAAAGGAAATATCTTCAAGTAAAAACTAGACAGAAGCATTCTCAGAAACTTATTTGCCATGTGTGTTCTCAACTAACAGAGTTGAACCTTTGTTTTGATACGGCATTTTGGAAACACTCTTTTTGTAGAATCTGCAGGTGGATATTCGGATAGCTTTGAAGGTTTCGTTGGAAACGGGAATATCTTCATATAAAATCTAGACGGAAGCATTCTCAGAAACTGCTTTGTGATGTTTTCATTGAAGTCACAGAGTAGAATGTTCCCTTTTATATACCAGGTTTGAGACACTCTTTCTGCACTATCTGGAAGTGGACATTTGGAGCGCTTTGAGGCCTATGATGAAAAAGGAAATATCTTCCCTTAAAAACTAGACAGAAGCATTCTCAGAAACTTGTTTGTGATGTGTGTATTCAACTAACAGAGATGAACCTTTCTTTTTACAGAGCAGTTTTGAAACACTCTTTTTGTGGAATCTGAAAGTGGATATTTGGATAGCTTTGAGGATTTCGTTGGAAACGGGATTACATATAAAATCTAGAGAGAAGCATTCTCAGGAACTTCTTTGTGATGTTTGCATTCACGTCACAGAACTGAACATTCCCTTTCATAGAGCATGTTTGAAACACTCTTTCTGTAGTATCTGCAAACGGACATTTCAAACGCTTTCAGGCCTATGGGGAGAAAGGAAATATCTTCAAATAAAAACTAGACAGCAGCATTCTCAGAAACTTATTTGCGATGTGTGTCCTCAACTAACAGAGTTGAACCTTTCTTTTGATACAACATTTTGGAAACACTCTTTTTGTAGAATCTGCAAGTGGATATTTGGATAGCTTTGAAGGTTTCGTTGGAAACGGGAATATCTTCATATAAAATCAAGACAGAAGCATTCTCAGAAACTTCTCTGTGATGTTTGCATTCAACTCATAGAGTTGAACACTTCCCTTCATACAGCAGGTTTGAAACACTCTTTTTGTAATATTTGGAAGTGGACATTTGCAGCGCTTTGAGGCCTATGATGAAAAAGGTAATATCTTCCCATAAAAACTAGACAGAAGCATTCTCAGAAACTTGTTTGTGATGTGTGTATTCAACTAACAGAGATGAACCTTTCTTTTTACAGAGCAGTTTTGAAACACTCTTTTTGTGGAATCTGAAAGTGGATATTTGGATAGCTTTGCGGATTTCGTTGGAAACGGGATTACATATAAAATCTAGGGAGAAGCATTCTCAGGAACTTCTTTGTGATGTTTGCATTCAAGTCACAGAACTGAACATTCCCTTTCATAGAGCAGGTTTGAAACACTCTTTCTGTAGTATCTGCAAGCGGACGTTTTAAGCGCTTTCAGGCCTGTGGTGAGAAAGGAAATATCTTCAAATAAAAACTAGACAGAAGCATTCTCAGAAACTTATTTGCGATGTGTGTCCTCAACTAACAGAGTTGAACCTTTCTTTTGATACAACATTTTGGAAACACTCTTTTTGTAGAATCTGCAAGTGGATATTTGGATAGCTTTGAAGGTTTCGTTGGAAACGGGAATATCTTCATATGAAATCAGACAGAAGCATTCTCAGAAACTTCTCTGTGATGTTTGCATTCAACTCATAGAGTTGAACACTTCCCTTCATACAGCAGATTTGAAACAACCTTTTTCTAATATTTGGAAGTGGACATTTGCAGCGCTTTCAGGCCTATGTTGAAAAAGGAAATATCTTCTCCTAAAAACCAGACAGAAGCATTCTCAGAAACTTGTTTGTGATGTGTGTATTCAACTAACAGAGTTGAACCTTACTTTTGACAGAGCAGTTTTGAAGCACTCTTTTTGTAGAATCTGCAAGTGGATATTTGGATAGCTTTGAGGATTTCGTTGGAAACGGGATATCTTCATATAAAATCTAGACAGAAGCATTCTCAGAAACTTCTTTGTGCTGTATGTCCTCAATTAACAGAGTTGAACCTTTGTGTGGATACAGCATTTTGGAAACATTCCTTTAGTAGAATCTGCAAGTTGATATTTAGATAGCTAGGAAGATTTCCTTGGAAACGGGAATATCTTCACATAAAATATAGACGGAAGCATTCTCAGAAACTGCTTTGTGATGTCTTCATTCAAGTCACAGAGTAGAATGTTCCCTTTTATAGAGCAGGTTTGAAACACTCAGTGCACTACCTGGAAGTGGACATTTGGAGCGCTTTGGGGCCTATGTTGAAAAAGGAAGTATCTTCCCATAGAAACTAGACAGAAGCATTCTCAGCAACTTGTTTGTGATGTGTGTATTCAACTAACAGAGATGAACCTTTCCTTTTACAGAGCAGTTTTGAAACACTCTTTTTGTGGAATCTGAAAGTGGATATTTGGATAGCTTTGAGGATTTCGTTGGAAACGGGATTACATATAAAATCTAGGGAGAAGCATTCTCAGGAACTTCTTTTTGATGTTTGCATTCAAGTCACAGAACTGAACATTCCCTTTCATAGAGCAGGTTTGAAAAACTCTTTCTGTAGTATCTGCAAGCGGACGTTTCAAGCACTTTCAGGCCTGTGGTGAAAAAGGAAATATCTTCAAATAAAAACTAGACAGAAGCATTCTCAGAAACTTATTTGCGATGTGTGATCTCAATTAACAGAGTTGAACCTTTGTTTTGATACAGCATTTTGGAAACACTCTTTTGTAGGATTTGCAGGTGGATATTTGGATAGCTTTGATGGTTTCGTTGGAAACGGGAATATCCTCATATAAAATCAAGACAGAAGCATTGTCAGAAACTTCTCTGTGATGTTTGCCTTCAACTCATAGAGTTGAACACTTCCTATCATAGAGCAGGTTTGAAACACTCTGTGCACTACCTGGAAGTGGACATTTGGAGCGCTTTGAGGCCTATGATGAAAAAGGAAATATCTTCCCATAAAAACTAGACAGAAGCATTCTCAGAAACTTGTTTGTGATGTGTGTATTCAACTAACAGAGATGAACCTTTCCTTTTACAGAGCAGTTTTGAAACACTCTTTTTGTGGAATCTGAAAGTGGATATTTGGATAGCTTTGAGGATTTCGTTGGAAACGGGATTACATATAAAATCTAGGGAGAAGCATTCTCAGGAACTTCTTTTTGATGTTTGCATTCAAGTCACAGAACTGAACATTCCCTTTCATAGAGCAGGTTTGAAAAACTCTTTCTGTAGTATCTGCAAGCGGACGTTTCAAGCACTTTCAGGCCTGTGGTGAAAAAGGAAATATCTTCAAATAAAAACTAGACAGAAGCATTCTCAGAAACTTATTTGCGATGTGTGATCTCAATTAACAGAGTTGAACCTTTGTTTTGATACAGCATTTTGGAAACACTCTTTTGTAGGATTTGCAGGTGGATATTTGGATAGCTTTGATGGTTTCGTTGGAAACGGGAATATCCTCATATAAAATCAAGACAGAAGCATTGTCAGAAACTTCTCTGTGATGTTTGCCTTCAACTCATAGAGTTGAACACTTCCTATCATAGAGCAGGTTTGAAACACTCTGTGCACTACCTGGAAGTGGACATTTGGAGCGCTTTGGGGCCTATGATGAAAAAGGAAGTATCTTCCCATAAAAACTAGACAGAAGCATTCTCAGCAACTTGTTTGTGATGTGTGTATTCAACTAACAGAGATGAACCTTTCCTTTTACAGAGCAGTTTTGAAACACTCTTTTTGTGGAATCTGAAAGTGGATATTTGGATAGCTTTGAGGATTTCGTTGGAAACGGGATTACATATAAAATCTAGGGAGAAGCATTCTCAGGAACTTCTTTTTGATGTTTGCATTCAAGTCACAGAACTGAACATTCCCTTTCATAGAGCAGGTTTGAAAAACTCTTTCTGTAGTATCTGCAAGCGGACGTTTCAAGCACTTTCAGGCCTGTGGTGAAAAAGGAAATATCTTCAAATAAAAACTAGACAGAAGCATTCTCAGAAACTTATTTGCGATGTGTGATCTCAATTAACAGAGTTGAACCTTTGTTTTGATACAGCATTTTGGAAACACTCTTTTGTAGGATTTGCAGGTGGATATTTGGATAGCTTTGATGGTTTCGTTGGAAACGGGAATATCCTCATATAAAATCTAGACGGAAGCATTGTCAGAAACTTCTCTGTGATGTTTTCATTGAAGTCACAGAGTAGAATGTTCCCTTTTATATACCAGGTTTGAAACACTCAGTGCACTACCTGGAAGTGGACATTTGGAGCGCTTTGAGGCCTATGATGAAAAAGGAAATATCTTCCCATAAAAACTAGACAGAAGCATTCTCAGAAACTTGTTTGTGATGTGTGTATTCAACTAACAGAGATGAACCTTTCTTTTTACAGAGCAGTTTTGAAACACTCTTTTTGTAGAATCTGAAAGTGGATATTTGGATAGCTTTGAGGATTTCGTTGGAAACGGGATTACATATAAAAGCTAGGGAGAAGCATTCTCAGGAACTTCTTTCTGATGTTTGCATTCAAGTCACAGAACTGAACATTCCCTTTCATAGAGCAGGTTTGAAACACTCTTTCTGTAGTATCTGCAAACGGACGTTTCAAGCGCTTTCAGGCCTGTGGTGAGAAAGGAAATATCTTCAAATAAAAACTAGACAGAAGCATTCTCAGAAACTTGTTTGTGATGTGTGTATTCAACTAACAGATC